>NC_000012.12:115035885-115187400 GCF_000001405.40 Homo sapiens | reverse complement strand
GTACTCATTAAACCGGTTGTATCATGGATATGTTCATTCATGAATATTTGCTGAGCATATATTTATTTCATGTATACTTCATCCAAATCTGTTGAACACCTACTATGTACTATCGCTGTCCAAGATGGTGTGAATATAGCTATGCAGGTGATCAATGGTGCCTGCTCAGATGGTGTTGGCATTCTGAAGTGGGAGGCTGAATAAGGACAATAAATAAATAAATACAAGCACATACACATAGAATCTTTAAAATAAAAGATTATTCTAGACAGTGATAAAAGGAAGAAGAATTTTCAAAAATGGCATATTATAGAATGACTGGGGAATGGGGAGGATGATATTAGATAGAGCAGGTGGTCAGGGAAGACCTGTGCACGGCAATGGTAGTTGAGCTGAGAAGAAGCAAACCAGAGAGCAGAAGAAATGGTGTCCTGGTCAAAAGGTATGGCAAGTACCAAGGCCATGAACCTTGAAGATTGGTGCTTTGAATTACTGATGACAATGAAGTCCATGTCTAATAGAATCTTTATATTTATTTTATTTTATTTTTTATATTATCATTATTATTTTTGTTGAGATGGAGTCTTGCTTTGTGGCCCAGGCTGAAGTGCAGTGGTGCAATCTTGATTCACTGCAAACTCTGCCTCCCAGATTTAACCGATTCTCCTGCCTCAGCCTCCTACATAGCTGGGATTACAGGTGTGCACCACCATGCCTGGCTAATTTTTGTATTTTGAGAAGAGATGGGGTTTCATCATGTTGGCCACACTGGTCTCAAACTCCTGACCTCCAGTTATCCTCCCACCTCGGCCTCCCAAAGTGTTGGGATTACAGGCATCAGCCACCCCCTCTGACCAGAATCTTTATATTTACAGAATTCTGTTGATAAAACCAGTGGATTCCTCTTTCAATATGGCAGTCATTCACTAATTCTGTTGACCAAATATTTCTGCTTCTCTGAAATTCCTGACCCCCTGATGCTCAAGAGCTGCATACAATTAGTTTCACACAACGAGTTGGAGTGTAAGGGATGTGTCACCTCTGGGTGAGAGTATTGGAGGACCAATGTGACACCCTGCTGAGCTCTCTTGCTCTAGAATGGAGACTGATTACTTAAGATGTTGGCTGATCCATTCTCCTTGGTATCTGAGTAGAGTCGCCCTGCTGACTCAAGATTGGTGTGTAGAGTGAGTGAAAACAGTGAGTGAGAATAACCTCTAGATGTTTAAAGTCACAGAAATTCTGGGATTGTTTGTTACTGCGACAGAATCTAACCTAACCTGACTGAAACACTTGGTTTTAGTGAGTACAACCTTACACCTTCTCATCATAGTCCTTCCACACCTTGTTGGGCTTAGGTCACAACTGAGAACAAACCATCATCTTAACCCAAGCTGCTGGTGGCATAGGCGGGTTCCCATGCCTCCTCCAGACAGAGATGCTGAGATTCCAGAGGAATTGTGTGGGCAGTGCAAGTTCAAATGGAATAAGAGACTTCCCAGGAGATGCAGCTGCCGGCCTTCACCCCCATCAGCCTGGGCATCCCTCACCAGGGGCATGGGCTCTGCTATTCCTCCTACACACTCACACTCCCTCCCCCACACCGTGAATCCCTTAAATACTCCCTAAGTGGGCTTACACAATCCCACTGTTGCCAACAAGCCTGAGTGCTCCAGCCAGCACGCCTGATCCCAGGTCTGCACAAGGCACTTCTACGGCATGCATTACTCATCTCTGGGATGGGAATAGATTACAAGTGCATCTGGTGTTGGGAACAAAATGCCTGAGCCAACACAGAGTGGCTCCTTTCATCCTTCTAAACCAGGACTCTGCACACCAAATGCTCTTAGGAGCCAGGCACCAAACCAAAATGAGTGAAGTGGGCCAGGTGGGGCCAGCAGTGAACTTGAGAGTGCACGCTTCTTCTGAAAGGCAACCCCTGCTTGGCGCCAATGGGTTCATGTTGCCAGATCTCCCAATTCTGTGCAGAGAAGCCAGACATCTATATTTACACAGAATATTTAGTCATTAAGTATTGGCAACTAATTAAAGAATATTTAAACGCTGTGGTTTTCACTGGTGCTATTTACTGAGTAATTCCAGAACTGACCCTGCCAAGGAGCAAGATAGAATCACACTTTCCCTGTCCCCTTGAAGTTAAGCATGACCACGGGTCTTGCTTTGGTCAGTAAGATGTCAGCAGAAGTGACACTCATCACTTCCAGGTGGAAACTATAAAAACCATTGCACCATCCACCCAGACTCTTCCCATTGCCTTATTCACTATGGAAACACATATAGAGATAAGGCCTCCAGCTAGGATCTTGAGTTATTATAATAACAAATAAACAATGTAACCCCACTGACTTCACCAGCAGGAACATAATGAACATGTAGCATGAGCAATAAATAAATGTTTTCTATTTATGCTTCTAAAATTTAGGAGCTGTTTGTTACTGCAGCGTAATCTAGCTTATCATGACTGACAAAAACACTACACACAAAACAAGTCTATGGCTAGATTCTCCCATTTGCAATCTCAAATGAATCGTTTTTCTCCTCTTTTTCTCTTTCCTGTTTTTTCTACCGTTTTCTTCTTTCATCATTCCTATCTTTTCCGCTCATTCAACAAACATTTTCCAGGACATGCAATATGTCTGCATGTTGGGTTCTGGAGATGCAGCAGGGAACAAGACAGACTCGTTCCTGCCTCTCTATCACTTTCAATTCAAAGGAAAGGTAAACATCACTACATAAGACTAGAAAGCATGGGATGAAGACTGTCGTGAATTCAGATTAGTCTTTTTTTAAAACAATTATTGTTTTGTATATTTGAGATTTGTAATATGTTATTGGGGGATTCACATAGATAGTAAAATGATTACAGTAGTGAAGCAGATTTGCATATCTACCATCTCACATAGTTACATTTTTGTGATGAGAGCATCTAAAACCTACTTACTGAACACAAATCATGAACAGAATATAATTTTATTAACTTTGTCCTCATGTTGTACGTTGGATTTCTAGACTTATTCATTCTATGTGCCTACTATTTTGAATCTTTTGACCTACATCTCCCTCTTTCCTCCTGACCCCACCCCAGTAACCATTGTTTCATTCTTTCTCTGTATTTGAGCTCTTTCTTTTATATCCCACAATAAGTGAGATCATGTAATATTTTTCTTTCTCTGCTTGGCTTTTTCCACTTAACATAATTTTCTCCAGTTTCATCCATGTTGTGGCAAATGGCAGGATCTCCTTTCTTTTAAAGGCTGAATAGTATTTCATTGGCTATAAATGTTTATCACATTTCCTTTATCCATTTGTTCATTGATGGGCATGTATGTCTTTTCCATATCTTGGCTATTGTGAATAATTCTGCAATGAACATGGGAGTGCAGATATCTTTACAAGGTGGTGATTTCATTTCTTTTGGGTATATGCCCAGAAGAGGGTTTTCTGGGTATATGATAGTTCTATTGAATTTCTTTAGGAACTTCCACACTGTTTTCCATAATGGCTCTACCAATCTACCTTCCCACTGACAATGTGCTGAGTTCATTTTTCTCTACACTATCGTCAACATTTGTTATCTCTTGTCTCTAAAGCTATCCTTACAAGTGTGAAGAGGTCGTATCTCGTAGTGGTTTTCATTTGCATTTCCCTTACGATTCGTGATGTCGAGCACTTTTTCATATACTTGTTGGACGTTTTTCTGTCTCCTTTGGAGAAATGTCTGTTTAGGTCCTCTGTCAACTTTTTAATTGGGTTATTTGTTTTTCTGCTGTTGAGTTGTAAGCGCATTCTTTATAAATTTTGAATATTTACCCCTTATCAAATATGTGCCTTGCAAGTATTTTTCCCAGTTGTCTTTTTTTTTTGGCTTGTTCTGTTTGTGATGCACAAGATTTTCAGTTTGATGTAGTCCCATTTAGTTATTTTTGCTTTTGTAGACTTAACTTTTGTTGTGATATTCAAAAAATCATTCCCAAGACCAATGTTGAGGAGCTTTTTGCCTATTTTCTCTTCTAGTTAGTTTTACAGGTTCTGGTCTTACATTTAGGTCAGACCTAAACATTTAGGTCAGGCCCCAGAGTCTCCAGCAACCTCCAGCCTGCCCTAAAGTCTAGATCCTTTTATGAGTCCAGGAGCCTCCAATCCAGAGGGTCACACTTACTCTCAGACCCCAAAAAAAGGTGCTTGTGTGTGGTTTTGCATAGTATGGTTTTACTATGAGCAGATTTGTTTTAGAATCCGGCCAACTTGGTTCCATTCCCTGCCTACTGGCAGTGTGACCTTAGACCTCAATTTTCTGTTGAGTGAGCAAAATACATCTTCAGTCTTGCAGGGTAATAGATGAGGATTAAGTATAACATAGCAAGCGTTCTGCAGAATATCTGGCCTACAGTGGGTTCTTAATGAATGGCAATTTTCTTAAGGGGACAGATATGGGCAAGATGAAGCAGAGGAGCAATTAGAGTGACTTTTAGTCAGAAGCTGGGACTCAATGGAGAAGAATGGGTTTAAACCTGTGGGCGCTGATGCTCAGCTGCCTGGGTTCAAATCCTGGCTGGCTCCACCCCTCACTCTAGTTGTATGACAGTGAGCAAAACACTGTACTTCTCTGAGTCTCAGTTTCCTCATCTGTAAAACAGGAATGTTACCAATAATATTAAATATTGGACACCTAGGGTTGCTGTCCCAAGTGTCAGGCAAATAATAAAGGTAAAGCATGGGACTGGACCTTTACATTTTTATTATTGTAAAGTCCGACAACACCCCTGATTTCCAGTCTAGTTTGAAAGCAGCCAGACTGCTACTGGACAAAGTCAGCTACTGCAGAAGAAGCGTTCTCCAGCCCGGCCCTCCTCCAGAATCCACCTTTTGAAACCAGCAGTTTAAATGTCTGACAAGGCCTCATTGTTTTCATCTCAGCAAGGAACACGTGTTCCTTCCGTGCATGTGCACTTACCTTTGAAATCGTTAGCGGTTGGGTCTCACACTCAGCCTTTTCCGTCTCTGAGACTGGATAGTGGGGCTGCCCTGGAAATCTGATCCCCACACCATCCCCTTCCCAAACCCTTGATTCTAATCATGTTGTTTCTCAGACTTGGGTTCACCTATAAATCATTTTTAATGACAGTTTGAGAAGAAAGAAGTCGCAAAGCAAATCTTACATGACGTTCTCATCACCAGCGGCATTTAATATCCTAAATCAAATGCTTTATGGCGTTGCGTTGCGGGCGGTGTGTGAAATAAAGGAAAGCTATTATTTTTTTGCCTTTGTGCACCTTTTATGTGCTTGGGGTCACTCACGTCGGGGAATTCCTGGCTGTTATGCTTGGGAAGGCGGTCATCTTGTGGGGAGTTAGGATGGTCGGAGGGTGCACCAGGATTCTTGGGGGACTTTTACACAATGAGGCGGCCTGTGCAGCAGTATCCAGAGCCAGTAATATGAGAAAGTTATGAGAATATAAGCCAGGCCTGATCTGGGGTTCCTCGCCATTCACCTGAGGGGCCCCTTCCCTTCCAGGGAAGTTGATACAGTGAAAATCAAACCAAACCGACAGCAAATAAAAACAGGCTCTACCTCTCCCCCATCCAAACCTGAGCCAGACTTGGGAATAAATGTGAATGAGCATGGCCATGCTGAACTTCTGCGCTCCCATTCCCTTCCATCTGACACACATTTTCTGAGCATCTTGCAATATGCCTACAATGTGCCTGGCTGTGAGCTTAGCGGGATTCTGGAAGTCAGAGTATGTCTTCACAGTATCCTAGTCCCCACCTGCACTTTCATTTCCCATTTCTATCTCAGGGCAACTCAGTGCAATTCTTCTCAGTGCAATTTAATCTAATTCAATCATCAGAGCTGGACTAGCTCCTGGTGGAAGAGCAGCTCCTAGGATGCTTGTCTCAGGCTGCAGTTTTCAATGAGTTGAAGACCTAGGAATGCACAAAACAGGAGGTTGGTGAGATCAGGGTCCACTATATACACCTAGAACACGGACTGACCTATGGTAGGCACTCAGTAAGTGGTTAGTGTATGAATGGTTTAGCCAAAGAACCAACAATAGAAAAAGGTGATCAAAATAACACTGTAGGACAAGTTTTTTGTTTTTTGTTTTTTTTGAGATGGAGTCTGGCTCTGTTGCCCACTGCGGTAGTGCGATCTTGGCTTACTGCAACCTCCACCTCCCAGGTTCAAGCAATTCTCATGCCTCAGCCTCCCAAGTAGCTGGGATTACTGGTATATGCCACCACACCTGGCTAATTTTTGTATTTTTAGTAGAGACAGGGTTTTTCCACCTTGACCAGGCTGGTCTTGAACTCCTGACCTCAAGTGATCCACCCATCTCTGCCTCCCACAGTGCTGGGATTACAGGTGTGAGCCATTGCGCCCAGCCGGGACAAGCTTTTTCATCAAGCTAGTCACCTCCTTTCACTGTCCTTCACATGCTTCAGGAAGAGGATGTGGAATAACAGCTCATCATGCTCATCACGCTCACCATAAAGAGTCATTTCTATTAGCAAGACATATGTCTTGATGTTCCATAATAAGAAATCAGAAAGTCTTAAGTTCCTTTCCTGCCTTTGATTTCCTGGGAATGTGGTACCTCTTCTTGACTTACAAGCATTCACAATGGGCTAGGAGGAAGGTGAGCTAAGTCCTGGTAACAGGCTACACTCTGCCCTGCTGTTCAGAGGCTGTGGCTCATGCAAGAGGGATTACAATCATAAGAGTAACATTAACTTCTGCTATGTGCAGAACCTGAGCTCAGACCTGTGCATGTTTCCACTGAATTAGACCTCCTCACACCCTAGAAGAATGAAGCTTGGAATAACATCCATATCAGAGAGGGGCTAGGAGCAAAAAATTAGGTGATAGGGGCTGAATGCTTAGCACTGTGTCTGCTGTATACTAAATGCTCGATAAATGTCAGCTTCAGTGGATGGTTACCATCCTCAGTTTACAAGTGAGGAAACTGAGGCTCAGAGAAGATGAGAGAGGAAAGTACCTGTAAAATGAGGCTGGGGAGGTAATGAATATTCAGAAGACATGAACTTCCCATCATGGTTAGGAGTTTATCCTAATGCTAGAAAAAGGTAACTTTGAGTAAGTTATTTCATCTCTCTGAGATTCAACTCCTCCTCCTCCTCCTAATAGTAGTAAGTACTATATATGATTATCTGCTTCATACTTTAAAAAACTTTGAATATTTGCTATTTCATAAGATTCTACTTAATAAAAATAACTTCCTCATAGTGTTCACATGAGAATTAAAAGATAGGTAAAAGCTGGGCATAGCACCTGGAAATTTGGTAATTTTTGAATACACAGGAGTTAGTTTAATTATCATCTCCATGACTTTCATGGATAAAGGGAGAAGTCAGATATATTTATGTCAGTACTAGAGGCAAAGCTGCTAATGTATTTTTCAATCCTGTGTCATGGGGGCCCCATCCCCACCTCCAGGGCCTGGTGATATGGGATCAGCAATTTCCTCCGCCCAGCCACACGGATCAATTATTCACCAGCTGCTCTCAACCTCCCCTTTCTACCTCAGGGCAGAGCTCTCCAAACCTGACCACCCTCCTTTGAACCAGAACTCTGGAATTATTGTTGGGGGATCCCAATCGCTTTTCTTTGCTTCTTGTCCTGGGAAAGCTGGGGGGTGGGGTAGAGGGCAGGTGTGCATTGTAGGTTAGGGCATAATGAGGGAGAGAAGGCGAGTTTCAGAAGGATGTGTGAGCTAGACCTTGGCTTCCCTGAAGCTCGGCAGCCCTCAGAAATATCATTTTCATCTTCATCATCATTACCATTTTCATTCTTTTTTTTTTTTTTTTTTTTTTTTTGAGACACGGTCTTGCTCTGTCACCCAGGCTGGAGTGCAGTGGCGCGATCTCGGCTCACTGCAACCTCCGCCTCCCAGGTTCAAGCGATTCTGCTGCCTCAGTCTCCTGAGCAGCTGGGAATACAGGTGCCTACCATGACACCCAGCTAATTTTTGTATTTTTAGTAGAGATAGAGTTTCACCATGTTGGTAAGGCTGGTCTCAAACTCCTGACCTCAAGTGATCCACCCATCTCAGCCTCCCAAAGTGCTGGGATTTCATTGTGCACGGCCCATTTTCATTCTTTTTCATCCAATACTACCACTGCCTGTTTATCTCCACCTTCTCCTTTTTCTTCTTCCCTTCCTCCCCCTCCTCCTTCCCTTCTCCCTTCTCCTTCTTGCCCTTCTTCTTCCCCTCCTTGCTCTCCTTTCCTCCTCTCCTCCTTCTTTTCCTCCTCCTCCTCTTTCTCCTCTTCCTCCCCCTCCTCCTCCCTGTCCTTCTTCTCCTCCTCCTCCAGTAGACAATAGTGCTATACTCCAGACTCCCTTCTATATTCTGCTGCTATCTTCCCTTTCTGGGCTCCTATTCTACTTGGAATTTTAGGTCTCTCTTCTCTCTACCTCCATCATGATTCATAATTACTCCAAGTTTTAGAATTTTCCTGTTCCTGCTGTCTCCTCACCCCTGCTACCCACGCACCACAAAACCTACCTATTCTGGGTCCAGTGGGCTCAGTGGCATTTACTAGATCAGAACAAACTGTGAACTAATTGCAGCTTTTCTTGAACTTCAAAACCTGGGACCAGGAAAGCCCAATTGTAGAGAAGATTGAACCATTTTTAGGGTCTTCAACAGTTGAGGGGATAAATTGAAAACAGGTCAAAATAGCACAGAAGAACTCTCCACCCTCTTTGGTTGTGTTCCAATAAAACCAAACCAAGGAATATTTAAGAACTTAGGCCACTTTGGGGGTATATGCCTTGTTCATCCCTTTACTACACTGCACCATTCTATTAGAAATAGCCTCCCTGAATACCTGTACCCAACATGGCCATAGTTGATTAGATCATAATTAGCCGTTTCTAATGCCAATCAGAGTGCCTTTCGAAGGAATTTGGGATGGGCATTGCAGGAGGAAGTCAATGTTTCCATAAAGTTGGAAATATGCCATGTGGTAAATGGAAGTACGGGGGAGTATTCCCCAATATTTCCAAGCCCACATGAGCAAGGAATGTGAAATGATGATGATGGGGATGGTGGTAATAATGATAGTGATGATCGTGGTAGTAGTGGTGGTAGTAGCGATGATGAGGGTGATGCTGATGGTGATGGTGATGGGTGATAATGGTGATGATAGTGATGATGATGGATATGGTGGTGATGATGCTGATGGTGATGATGATGGTTATGGTGGTGATGATGCTGATGGTGATGATGGTGGTGATAGTGATGGTGAGGATGCTGATCGTGATGATGATGGTTATGGTGGTGATGATGATGGTTATGGTGGTAATGATGCTGATAGTAATGATGATGGTTATGGCAGTGACGATGCTGATGGTAATGATGATGGTTATGGCAGTGACGATGCTGATGGTGATGACGATGGTGGTAGTGATGGTGATGATGCTGATGGTGATGATGGTGGTGATGGTAATGATGATTATATAATGATGATTGTGGTGATGGTGATGATGATGTTTATTATAGTCATGATGGTGGTAATGGTAGTGGTGGTGATGATGATGATGATGGTAGTGATGATAATGATAATGGTGATGAGAGTGAGGATAGCCAAGATATATTGAGCACTTACTCCCTGTCAGCCACTTGAGGGGTTTATATACATTATTCTTTAAAGCCCTATGAGGTAAGACAGCCAGAAAGTGAGAAACAGTGTTTTACCTTATAGGTAAGAAAAGTAAGTTTTCCTAAACACTCAGAATTTGGAACTGATGGAGCAAGGGAAGCCCTTCAGCCTAGAAAGAAGAAAGAAGCAAGTGCAGGAGATGGAGAGAGAAATTTCCGCAGGGTCCCAGTTCTAGGCCTTTCTTTTCCCTACCTTAACATCTGCTCTGTGGTTCTATGAGACATTCCAGTCCCATTTTTCTCAAGCTTCAGTTGATTTCTATTACTTTTAACCAAATGAGTGTTAGCAAATAAAGGCACTGAACTTTCTGTAAAGAGGCAGTGATTCTTCCTAATAGAGTATGTGGTGACTTTTGAAAAGATAACTTTGAACCAGAGCCAGAACTAACATTAGACAAATGAGACGCTTAGGGCACAAAATTTAAGGAGGTGCTTATTCTCAGGGTCGTGTAAGTGAAGGGCTGGCATTTTCACAGGCCTGAATGTGAGTGCCTCCTTAAATTTTGCATGCTAGGCTCCTTGCTTCCCTCACTCTAGGCTCAGCCCTCCTTTAAACAACTTCCTTTCTTTTTCTACCAAGAATTTCTCCAGCTATAAAGTGAAGAAATTGAATACAGGACCACAAAGAGTCATTTGGGGCGTGATATTCTGACTCTGGCAAATAAATGACATACTTGCTGCAATCTCCACATCCTGTGTCTGTGGCAGACATCACTAATCAAATGTGGCCTCTTTTTCCTGAGCCTGAGCATGTTATCAGAATCCATCTCCACCCAGAGCCATGAAGACCTGCATCAGATATTTAGATTTGGCAAAAATGAGGAACCCTCTCCAAGAGCAGGAGCTGCTTTCTCAAATCTCTCTCCCCAGCACCTAAAATGGTACTTGATCCAGATGAAGCTCTGTGTATATTTTTTCATTAAACTAAAGCCTGGCCAAGAATGTGTATGGAGAACTACTTGCCTTTGCTCTCATATATAGGGACTTACTGTTCATTTGAATACACAAATATGCTCTCTCTCTCTCTCTCTCTCTCTCACACACACACACACACACAAACACACATGCACTTCCATGTGCAATGTATTATGGCCTACATGTAAATTAAGGCTGGATTGAGATATTTAGAGGCCCCAAACAATGAAAAGATAGTGATCTCTCCAAGTCTTATAAACTTCAAAATAATCATTTAAAATCAAAATAATAAGAGTCCAGAAGTCCAAAAAGTTCTGCATTTTGTCATAATAACTACCATAATTTATAAATAATCAACTATCAAGGTCATTAAATAAAAGGATGGGAGTTTGGTGTCTATGATTTGCTGGTGGCCAAGTATGCCCTGAGATTTTGTGGGGAGGACAAAAGTAGCACTGTAAACAACCTCATATACATGAGTGTGGACATGCGCACATAACAACACACACTCACACACACTCATGTGTGCACAGACTCAAAACATTTACAATTACACACTTACATGAGCACAAACATCCTAAACATGCATACACATGAGTTACCTTACATAGATTACACACATGTATGTACTTGGCAAAGCACACATACCTATAAATGCACACGATGGCATGTACATTCTGCCCAAATATATATACACACATACATGCATACAAGCTCACTCACGCATCCATACAAAAATGCACATGTATGTGTGCAAAAGCATTTACCTGTACATAAGCACGCACATACGCACACTGGCCCAGCCTGAGACCTCATACATACCATACCTCGTGCTCATATTCACACATAGACACACTATACACACGCTGTGATGGTTAATATTGAGTGTCAACTTGATTGAAGGATGCAATGTATTGTTCCTGGGTGTGTCTGTGAGAGTGTTGCCAAAGAAGATTAACAGTTGAGTCGGTGGATTGGGAGAGGCAGACCTGCCCTCAATCTGAATGGGTACCATCTAATAAGCCTCCAGCAGAGCTAGAATAAAAGCAGGCAGAGGAACGTGGAAGGATTAGAATGGCTGAGTCTTCTGGCCTCCATCTTTCTCCTGTGCTGGACACTTCCTGACCTTGAACTTCAGACTCCAAGTTCTTCGGCTTTTGGACTCTTGGACTTACACCAGTGGTTTGCCAGGGGCTTTCAGGCCCTCAGCCACAGACTGAAGGCTGCACTGTCGGCTTCCCTACTTTTGAGGTTTTGGGACTCACACTGGCTTCCTGGCTCCTCAGCTTGCAGATGGCTTATTGTGGGACCTCACCTTGTGATTGTGTGAGTCAATTCTCCTAATAAACCTCCCTTCATATATACATCTATCCTATTAGTTCTGTCTCATTAGAGAAGCCTGACTAGTACACACACACACACACTCCCCAGTCACAAATGCCCAAATTCACACACACATACTCCCACACGCCCACAGACGTACAGGCACATGCAGATGCACACACACACATGCACACACACACGCACGGTCTGCTAGCCTTCCAGCATAAGCCCCCAGGAAGGCTACCCCTCTGCAGGCTTGTGCTGTCAGGGAGCCTGGTAAGAATCATCGGGGCAGCTCGACAGTGATAACAATTTCCAGAGCCAACAGAAGGAAGCCTAATCCACAGTGAAAAGCTGACAGGGCGGGCGCCTCTGCGTGCTTCCTGCCAGCTCCTGCTAACTCAGCCTAGCATGGGGAGGTGGCAGACTCTTTGTCCCCTCAAGCCATGTCATCTCCTCTCTAATGATGCCAACGTTTTGACAAAGCCGAGCAGCACAGCCGGTAGGTGTGAAGTTGGAATTAATTTTCTTTTGGAAGGTCAAGTGCATTAATGAGCTTTTGGCTGGCTGGTATTGTTCTTTCTACCTTTTTGCAAGATGGAGAGAAAAAAAAAGAAAAGAGAGAGGAACATTCTTTCCAGGAGCTGTTTTGTTCTTCCCTTCTCCTCCCTTCAGAAGTCTTGGCTCCTTTTCCAGAAGCCCAGTAAACCCTGTGGGCAGACACATGGGCTCAGATAAGGCCTGCCTGGTAGAGTTTATTCCAGCCACCACATTTGGAAAGTCTTACCAGGATACCCACCTTGAGAAATAGGGTGTAAGTAAAGAAGAATAAAATATACTCCTCAGTATTTAAGGCATTTAAATAGATAAAAATTTAGAGAAGCAGATGAGTTTCATCATATATGCCAATTCTGATTGATTAGTAATGGCTGCCCACAGCTGTGGAGAAGACATTGTGGCCACTTCAATGGGCAGGAGGGTCATGATTGATTAGTGACGTCTACCTTGGATATCACCTAAGGCAGTTGTAGCATGCAGAAAGCTATTTTTTTTTCTAAAAGAAATTCCTACAATTCAACATGTTGAACATAAATAGAAAACTCAGGAAATAGGTATATTTAAAACCTTAAAAAAATTTAAAAGTAGCTCATAAGGAAACTTAAGGAAGAAACTATATGTAAAGCAAGAATTGTAAACTCAAATGCCTTTAGAAGCCAACAAGGTGACATGAATGATTAATGTAGCCCAGATGGGGCCTCTGCTGAACTCTCGAGTGTATTTCTCATTTAAAGAGGGGAACTGCTACTTCGTTGAATTAATTTCTGCCATGGACGAAGAGGGGCCAGATATTGTCACACCCACAATTTTTGTTTCCAAGATAAATCAGAAATATGGGTGATTTTTACTGTTGCCAAAAATTCTTTCTTTATGTTTTCCAAATCACTCCATAGGCTCCACAATATCTTGGATTTGTCAAAAAGCAGACAGTTTGGGCCTGTCTTTTAGAGTAAACTGGGTGTAGTATAGGAGAAAGCTCTGGTTATAATGTTTGGTGTAATTCCACATCTGTTTTCCCCACCAGGCTTCATACTCACTGTGGGCGGAAAGCATACGTGTGTGTGTGTGTGTGTGTGTGTGTGTGTGTGTGTGTGTGTGTGTGTGCATGTGTCTAATTCATGATTCTGCACCAGCAACTGCAAGCCTGGTACACACTAACACTCAGTAAGTACATATTATATGAATATATGGGTGGACCAAATCTTACCCTAACCTATAAAGTATGTTGCGTGGCCCAAATGTTTCCAAGGTTTTTTTTTTTAACATTACCTTCTCTTCTTTAACTCTGGGTGGTAAAGAGTATTTCCTCTTATTCTACCTTCAGTAATAAGAATCTGATCTGTCTACATCCAAGCTCTACCTCTTACTACTGTGTGACTTTAGGCGAGCCACTGCACTTCTCTGAATCCCAGTCTCCTGACTTGTACAGCAAAGATCATCATAGCGCTTATCTCACAGGGCCGTCATGACAATTAAACTGAGTGAGCCTGTGTAGTTTGTTTTGTTAACCAGGATAATTTTGAGAGTGGATGGCAACTCTGTAAAGAATTGGTCTGGGACATGGAGGATAAGCTGGGATTTTCCCACGTACCCCAGAATGTCACCCTAAGCTGTAATAAATAAGCTGATCCATACAAAGCACTGGGGACAGTGCCTGGCATTTAGGACTCAGCAGTGTTAGCTGACATCACCAGAGGACCCCCCGTCAAGCTTCTGTTCTACTCCCTTTTAGTCCTTTGCAACATGGAGTAATGAAAAGAGCTTAGTCTTCAAGGTTTTCAGTTCTGCCACCTGAACCTCAGTTCAGCCAAAGCCTAGTTGAGCACCTATTTTGTGCTCTGCTCTATACTACAGCAGAGATAGCAGCTAAGTCACACATGAAACGCTGCTAATAATTTGGACAGGCAGCATATGTCAAGGAAGAAATGGAGACTCTCTGGCAAAGAGAATAGCTTAAACAAAAGGTGAGTGTTCAGTTGGCGGGCTCTTAGGCATGATTCAGTGAGGACCAGATACGCAAAGGCTGCAGATATAAAGGGTTTGTGAGTCTAAAAATTCAAGCTCTAAAGATGGTGTGCCTGGGTTTTGGACACATTTCTTGTCTTTTACATCATCCGTGAAAGACCTGCCAAGAGAGGGTTGTGCACCGAGACGCCAACATGAAAACAACTAATTTTCTTGGGAAGAATCTCAAAGACCAGTGACCTAACTACCAGATCATATTTTAAAAGGATGTTGTAAAGTTCCCTTGTTAAGAAAGAGGAGGAGAGATAGTCACCACCACCACCACCCCACTTTTATTACTGTTTATTATTACAGAGATCATGTACAGAGAAGGCAAACTTAAAAAAACAAATCCTCCAAAGAAAATGAAGCCTTCTTTCTAATCTGGGAAAACTCAATGGGATTTAACTGAGATAAAATTCCAGTCTCCTGTCTCAGTGACCCTCCAGCAATTGCTCTGCAAATGTGGCATTTGCTCATGTCCATCCTCCACATTTTGTTCATCTGTTCCTGTCTCCCAAACAGGAGGATGCTGATGGGGCAGACACACAACTTGGTTGTGATCAGAAACAGCTGGGGGCTCCTCAAACCCTGCACCTTCAGAATTGGATACCACCAGGGCCTGTCTGACTTGCTTTGCTTTCTTCCAGCTTACGAGTTTCTCTGAAAGATACCAGCCCAGAATATGAATGCCTCTACCTGCATACCCAGAATCCGAGACAGGCGTTCTTGCAAATTTCATCTTTCCAAGAATACTTCACTTGCCCCATTCTTAGATAATTCAGTCTCCCCTTTTCTTGCTGACAATTGTTGCTGGGATCACTGAAGAACTTATGCTATATCATGGTTCATTTCATTTGTTCTTTCACTGGGCAAGTGTTTAATGAGCATACACTATATGACAGATAGTATTCTAGGCACTGAGGATACAGTGGTGAACAAGGCAGTGCCCCTGTCCTCATGGAGCAGGCATTCTCAGGCTAGATGTACTTCTGTCATTCATCTGCTTGACAACCTCTTTCTTATCCTTCAAGATACAATTCAAAGACCATGTCTTCCCCCAAAATGATCCTGTGATCGCCTGCCGCCCTTGGAAAAACTGACTCCATTCTGCTTAACCATTGCTTCTGTGGCCTCGTTTTGGCTTGCAACATTCTGCCTTATTTTATAGTGGGTAGCTGATGTGCCCTCCTAGTAGCACTCACAATAAATATGGGCTACTCACTATTGGGAGGGTGTTATCTGAGATCTAATGGACTGGGCTTGAAGCCCAGCTCCTCTACTTCGAACCGTGAACTTGAGTGATTGACTTAACTTCTCTGGGCCTCCAATTGCTCATCTCTAAAGTGAGAATCATAACCATGCCTACCACATAGGGTTTCTGTGAGTATTAAAGGAGATAATAATAAATCACCCATTTAGCACAATACCTGGGGCATAGGAAGAGCTTAAAAAATCTGCTATTATTAGTCTTTTATTAACAAATATTAATTGGGCACTGTGGCAGACATTACTATCACCAGTGCTAGCTATCTTTTTTGTCCTAAGCAAATAGGAGAGACTACACTTCCCAGCCTCTTTGAATTTAAGAAAAGCTGAGTGACAGGTTGTAACCAGAGAAATATTAACAGAAGTGACATATGTCACTACCAGGCTAAAATGGTTAAAGTTTCCTGTGTATTTCATAGCCTGTCTTCTGCTGCTGCTTAAACCAATGACTCCACAGTAGATGGGCCAGGAGATCTGCTCTAGTTGTGCTGTTCTAAGGATGGATGGATTTGGTGGATGTTAGGGAAGTCAGTGCTTGAGTGTACCAAAGTACATTCCATAGCCAACCGTGTGTGAGCCTAGTACTACAGCTGGAGGCTTGGGAAAACCAAGAGACTCATCCCCTAGCTCTGCAAGATCCCAGACATAACTTGGCTTAGCTTGACCATGGAAGGTAAGCAGTCATTTTCCAGGTGACAGACATCAGAAAGGGGTTGAGAAACATAGGCTTCCTTTCCAAGAAAGAGAGGAGACCTGGAAGAAAGTGTGCAGGTCAGCAGGGTGCCATAGCTACTATGTTTTAGTCACTCTCTGTGCAACGGGGCTATTTGCAAAGTTCTTTACAAACTTTATTTTATTCAATTCTCATAACCACCCTTAGGCATCAATGTTTGTTTTTCAGATGAGGGAACGGGCTCAGAGAGATGAAGTCAGATGGCCAGATGGCTGATATGTAGCAGAAGTGAGGTTCAAATCTAGGCTTGTCTGAAGTCCAAATCTCATCACCAGTTGTTTCTGCTCTGGGACCAGCTCCCTAGAAGAGTAAGCAAAATGAATGACCATTGGAGGCTTTGGAATCTTAAAACCCTCGGTTCCAATCCTGACCTCTGGCTAGCTGTGCGACCTTTGGGAACTGGCTTCACTTCTGTGAGCCTCTATTTTTCAATCTGACCGCAAAGCTCTTCTGTTTTACTGTAAAGATATTATAAGAGACATATGGGAAGCTGCGTAGCATGGGACGTGGCGTGTATTGACCACCACAGCAATGTGAATTCTCTTTTCTACTCCCATCAGGAAAGGATGGGGTGAGATAACTTCCTTCACTCTCCCCTCACCTCCCCTGACCATAAAAAGCCTAGAAAACCTGGGAGAGCTCCTTTTGAAAGGCTATCCTTTTTGGCAGCCAACTTTGAATTTCTCAGCTATCATTTGGAGCTTGGAGTTCTCACATCTGTGATGGATGAGCAGAGAATATAAACACGTAGTTAGTGTTTGAAACCACTGGTTAGAATTGGGAGGGAGGACAGGCCAAGGTCCAGGACTTTAAACAGAAAAATAGTACATATTTCCATTAAAATGAAAAAAAAAAGGTGAGCAGAAAAGGAAGCTACACAAATCATTGAAAAGTTATTTGACCTGCTCGAAAACTTTAATTGCTGATAATGGCCAACCTGTTTGGTGGTATCTTATTAACATTAATAGATTTTTACATGATATTTCTCATATTGCTCTCCAAGAGCCTCAGGAATTCATCAAATATTAAAAAGTAGTGCTCTAGGTTGTTCATTCAGTTAAAGATGCCCTCCTGATGAGGTTTCCCGCAAGTTAGAGACCTGGAGAAAGGAGGCAGCACGGGATTGATGTTCACTGTCAGCCTCGGCAGGGGAGATAAGAAAATAGTAATAATCATGAATGTTTATCGGGTGCTTACTCTATGTCAGGCACTAGGCTAAGCACTGTGTGTGTGTGTGTGTGTGTGTGTGTGTGTATGTGTTTTATACACAGAATAATCCCATAAGGAAGGTACTCTTAGCATCCCTGTTCTACAGATGGGAAAACTGAGGCTTAGATTTTGAAGGTAGTGAGAATGAAGAATAAATGGAGAAACATTAGCCAGGCTTTGGAAACAAGCAGATGAGGGCTTTTTCCAGATCTGCTTCTTGTTCCCCGTGTGGACTTGAACAAGTTACTAGCTCATTCTCTGCCTGAATTTTCCCTTTTTAAAAATTGGGGTTTTTATCCTTATTTTACAGGTGAGATATTGAGACGCAAGGTCACTGAGCTAATAAATGGTGAGGCCAGGACTCATTAAATGGTCTTGAATTTGGTCCAATTGCTTATTACTGCATGATGAGCAACCTCAGAACTTAGTGGTTTAAACCAACCATTTTATCTTACATGTGATTTTGTAGGTTAAGAATGTGAGAAAGACAGCTGGGAATTTCACCTACTATACACATGGATTTAGCTGAGGATTCGCTAACTTCACTAAGTTAGGGTTGGGGGATTTAATTCTCAGATGTCTTTTTCATTCACATGAGCTTCTTTTTCTCCACCTGGCATCTTATCCCCCCAGAGTCCCTGGAGGGCCTCTCTATGTGGCTTGTGCTTCCTCACAGCATGGCAGTGTCAGGTAGTTGGACTCCTTATATGGTGTTTGGCTTGCACCAAAGTGAGCATCCCCAAAGACAAGAAGTGGAAGCATCATTTCCACCATACTCTATTGGTCAAAGCAATCGCAGATCACCTTTCTCTCTTGATTCAATGGGAGGGGATCTAGATCACATTTCTCAATGGAAGGAATGTCAAAGAACTTACACCTATCTTTAGTCTGTCTCACTGTACATAGTAAGAATCCAATAAGTGGTAGATCTTACTTAGAAAATAAATCTATAAAATGAATGCCGCTAATACCCACTCACTACCCAAGGTGATTGCAAGCATTAATGAATGCAAAGTACAATGCTGGATAGTTGGCAAAACACAGATGCATAATACAGTAAGCTTCCTCTCTTTAGTGACTACCAGGATTCTCTGGCCAGAGAGGTAGTATTATCCCAAGTGTAGGATTGCCAGATACGACAGAGTACATCTAGTGACATTTGTGTTTCAGATAAACAGTAAATACTCTTTTAGCATAATTATGCCCCATGAGATATTGAAGACGTTTTTCAACTAAAAAATTATTCATTGTTTGTCTAAAATTTAAATGTAGTTGGGTATCCTTTTCTTCTTTATTTATTCGCTAAATCTGGCAATCCTACCTGTGTATAGATGGAAAAGCTGACACCAAGAATTCTAGTTGTATTCTTTGGCCACAGAGTTGAGGAAGATTGAATTTGAAATTTGAATTATACACCAGCCATGATCTGTCCAGACTTGAAGCTCTCCTTCCTCCAGTCAAACCAGGAAAGAAGCAGAAGAGGAAGAAGATAAAAATCTAACGTCTTCCAAACCTTCCAACCATCTTGAGCCTATCAGTAAGAGTAGGTAGGCATCCAACATTCAATACATTTATCTAGTCATGGAGCTCACTATGAAGTTATGCGGCCTTGGAGAAGTGACTTAGTGTTTCTATACCTCTCATCTGTAAAATGGGGGAATAATAACAGCAATTTAACCCAGAGGGATATTGTGAGGAATAAATGAAGTACAATTTTAATAGTTTCTGATCTGTGCTAATTGCCAGCATAAAACACATAATCATCAAATTCTGCAATAACTGAACCAATAGAAGTAGTAAGAAGTAGTAAGGGATGAAAGAGAGTGATAGTGAGGATATCTTTACAGAAGTTATAGCTAAGTAGGGTTGTGATAGATAGAAAGAAGTTTGCCAAACAATCAGAAAGAAAAGCTTCTAGGTCAAGGGAATGGCACATTTAAGGGGACAGAGAAACAAAGCAAAAAGTGAAAGAAGCTCCAAGTAGTTCAATGTTGTGGAGTTACGGAATGGAGTTTGAAGTTCTAGGGGCAGAGTGATGGGAGGGGAACCAAGAGACAGCCCCTCCAAGGCTTTGGATACCGTGGCCCTAAAATAAGTCTCAAACAAGGAGGGGCCCAATGAGTGTTGCATTTTGAAAGTCCAAACCATTGCGCTGGGTAAGATGAGTGAGCAAGTTAAGATTAGAGATGGAGAGACTTTTACATGATTTCAAGCAGCGAGACTCAGATTCAAAGCAGTAGAAATAAGGACATACACAAGAGAGGAGCTCGAAGAGAAATTTCGGGTGTAAAGGGAAGGGAGAAGCGCCAGATTTCCAGCTTCCAGCCAAAGCGGGAAATTTGACTTATATAGTAAAACACTGAAAAAAATACATTAAACACAAATATCCCTTTAATTGACAACTTGGGCATAAAAAGAATGCCTATAATTTGAGGAATTTCTGTATCTCTAAGGACCACTGGAGTGGTCATTTCCAGTAACGCCCCTCTAATTTTCCAGTGGAGGGCACTATGAGCTCATCCCAAAGGGAAGCAGGAGGAGGTAGTCCAGAAAGTAGTAGTCTGTAGTTGTCATACTAGCGGTAAGGCTAAAAAGAAAAATCCTAATAATTTAACCACGTACCATCCTAATCTAATGAGAACTGCTATATATTGAGCCACTGGCGTGTGTCACACATTGAGTTAAAGCTTTCATTGTGTTAGATTATCTTATTCTCACAGCAATCCTATGAGGATTAGTCAGATCTCATTTTACAGATAAGAAAACTAAAGCTTTGGTGTATTACCCAGTCAATTAGCTAGTAAGTGGTCGAGATCCAGGGATCTGTGAGCATGGGCTCTGTGCTCTTAAATACCATGCCAGAATTCAGTGTTTCTCAAGCACCAATCTATCATCCTCATCTACACACCACCTACACTATAATTGACTGAATATTATTTTTAATTAAGTAAATTTTGACTTGCCATAAATAAGAATGTGATAAATATAGAGAAATCCATAAACATTAAAACAGAGGATAGCCATTGAAATAAGTACTGTATATACAATACTATGTGTTGAGTGCAAAAAGTCATTTCTATGAAATTCAAGGTCAGCAAATAGTCTATGGGAATAACAGTCAGAATAGTGGTTGCCTTTGGGAGGCAGGGGTGGATGGACAGGCTGGAGAAACATGGAGAAACTTTGTAGGGCAGTGGCAATGATTTAAATCTTGATTGGGACGTTGGTTACTTGAGTGTAACATTGATCAAAAGTCATTGAACTGTAAACTTAAGATCTAAGCATTTTATAGCATGTAATTTTACCTCAATAAAGCCTCAAATTTAAACTTTTGTCATTATCTTAAAATAAGGTTCACCATAGATTTACATAGATGTACTGACTCCATAAACCTTAAACAGGTGTGCCTTTTCTAAACATTTGTAATACATAAGGATTAATTATTTTGTATATAGCATGATTGGTCTGTGTTGCATTTTTGTGTAAATATTTTTTGAGTTGTAAACATTTAAAATATGCCATATTTTCTGTTACAAGGGGCTCATTTTGATAGAAAAAAGTTCTAGACTCTCTCCCTTAGAAGTTGTGTAACCTTAAGTAAGTCATTCATCCTCTTTAGTTTCAGTTTCTCCATCCATATAATGTGTTGATGACAATGAATACATCCCAGATTGCAGTGGTGCCTACATACAAATGTAGGTGATGGTAAAAGTGCCTTTCAGACATGCAGAAAATATAGAAACATAGTTAATATTCTAGCAAATAAAGTGTCTTCCTTAATGAAGAACTAGCTGTTTCCTAATTAACTGAAATATGTGACCATTCATTCATTCATTCATTCATCCATTCAGCAAATACTTGGGTGCCCATGATATGCCAGGCACCATTCTAGGTAGAGAATACACTCCAGCAAAAATAATAAAGGAGGTGAATTGATTATATATTGAAAATGCTGAGCACTCAGGCTGTAGTCCATAAAGAGTGGTTGTTATTATTACTACTAATCATGATTGGAAGCAAAAAAATCCTCAAAGACAGTTATAAGGTGGCAGGGGAGATAGAGAGAGGTTGGTTAACCAATACAAAATTACATAGCTGGGAGGAATAAGTCTTGGTGTTCTATGACTCTATAGGGTCATACAATAATTTATTGTAGATTTTCAAATAGCTAGAAGAGAAAATTTTGAATGTTTCCAGCACAAAGAAATGATAAATGTTTAGGTGATGGATATGCTAATTGCCCTGATTCGATCATTACACATTATATACATGAATCAAAATATCCACACTCTACCTCATAAAAATGTACAATTATTTTATGTCCATTTTATAAAAGACAATTTTGCTTCATTCTCCTTCACCCACAAGTCTTCAATATTTTCCTTTCCCCTACATCTCCAGTCCAAATATAGAATTATAATATGAGCAATAGACTTTCTTTTGAGGCTCTCTGTAATCCTCTCCCTTCTTTACCTTCTATTTGGGGGAGAATGGTGTACCATATCTTTTTCATCATTTGGGGATGGTTATACAAAAACTCTGTTTTTTTTGTAAGGATGGGAAGGGCATTATCTCTGCTAGCTTTAACACAGAGCAGGAAGGTCAGCAGGGCTCCACCCCGGTCATCACATCACCTGGTGGAAAGAGGAAGGAATGCTTCCTATACAAATATGGAAGCACTCTTGCGTAGGGCAGAGAGGGTCACCAGGCTGCTTCCCCATCATCTCTACAGCACTTAGTGGGAAGAGAGAAGGATGGGACATCTTTAATGGAGTTCACCTAGATTAGAGCAGGTACAGTCAAAAAGGTTCTGCCCTTTGTCTAGGCCCTTGACTAGAAGAGTAGGGTGTTTTGCGGGGTGGGGGGACCATTAATTTGGTCTGCATCCATTGGTGTTTCTGGGCTGCAGGATATTCTAGTGTCCAAGTTTAGACATATAGAAGGCTGAGGTTTCTAGCTAATCTACTTTCTTTTCTCTACCTTTCAGAGTCTTCTGATAGTGCCTTTCTGTTTCTTTCTTAGAGATTCTAGTTGTATTTATCAGGAGAGATAGAATGGAATGGGCCTACACCATCTACTTTCACTATATCCATTAGATAATTCCTTGTCTTGCTTGAGAAGCTGGATTTTTTGCAAGTGACTGTGTTTTAAAAGAAAAAAGTGTCTCATGAAAATCAATGTGGAACAGAAAATTAAAGTGATGGTGACCAATCTGATTCCAAGGTTTGAGAAACCATGGTATCCAACAGGTCCCCATATCTCATTACTCTGTAAATCAGCTTATTTAAGTATGATATAATATTTTTTCTTTCAATGCATGGTATTCTTCTTCAAACAGTGCTAAATTGCTAGGACTTACATATTAAATAGTTTTGGAGTGAATGACTTCATAAACAGAATTGTTATGGACTTTATGAAAAAAGATACTAAGATACTAAAATCACCCTAAACTGAGAAAGTCTAGGAACCTCTAGTCTAGAAGAAAGACCTATTCGAACTCGGAAGCAAACAAATGAATTAACCCAGAGAAAACCTGGAAGGCAAGCAAAATTTGCACTTCTCTGGAGTGTTGGGGCGGGGAGAGACACGCAAAACACAAAACAAAGCTGGTGTGCAGGTCCGTTAAAAAAAAAATCCACTTTGAGCATTGTTACTGCAAAGCTCTTTATCTGAGGAGCTCAAAGAGCTTTATTACAGGTAAATATCCTTGTCTCCAGCTGCTAATAGGAGAGGCCAGGCCCGGGGAGATTAGCGGAGAATGCCTATTTAAGGTCACATAACAGTCAGTGACAAAGTGGAGACTCACAGAGTGGTCTGTAATGGGATTTGTCTGCTGTCTATTGTATCAACCTAAGATGCTTGGTGTGTGAGGGCAAGGCTCCAATGCCGGAGTTTGCAGGAGACAGAGCATCTTAGCATCGCAGAGTGCAACCACAGAAGCGACTTGGAGGGCTATTGAGTATGTCCCCCTTATTTTTCCAGACCCCATACTGAGGGTCTGAGAGAGCAAGGGATTTTTCAAGTTCATACAACCTATTTGTATCACAGCCAGAAGGAGAATCGAGGGCTCCTAGCTTCCACCTATTTCTCTCTTTGAGTTTTCCTGGTTCTCAAGTGATTTGTCTAGGGAAACCTATTAAGGAAATTCAATTTCTCTAAGGCTGGCTCAGTCGAACCTGAGTTGGATCAAAGCTAGTAGAACATTGGTAGGGATTTGGAAGGAATTAGAGAGGAGTGATAAAGGCAGACTTAGGGTCAGAATCTTGGCTCTGTAGAAGACTAGTGTGGGACCCCAGGCAAGTCATCTCTCATCTCTGTGCCTCTGTAAGAAATGTCAAGGGCTCATTGCTTCCTAAAATGCTCCAGCCTTAGTAAAATCTACTTACTGATTGCAAGATATTTGGATCTCAGTTTCTCCTTCTGCACAATGGGATATTCATAGTGCCCATCTCAAGGAGTCCACAGAGAACTTCCATATGAGGTGCTTATCATAGAGCTTCATGCCTGGAATTGCTTTTATCAGCGTTAGCTATTTTCATAGCCACAAGAACAGTCTGCTCACACTATCCAACCTGAAATATTTGGGATGGGTCTACCCAATCGTCTATACTTGATCATTCTTCCATAATTTTTTTCTAAATCCACACCCATGTTCAAGCTTTTGATCCAACTAAGATGGCCAGGTAAAATACAGGACACCCAGATAAATTTGAGTTTTGGATAATTAAAAAGCGAATGTGTTTAGTATAAATGGAGTCCCAAATATTACATGAGATACACTGACACTTACAATTTAATGACCATTTATTTGTATTTAAGCTTACCCAGCATCTTTTATTTTTGTTTATGAAATCTCGAAACCGTAGCAGTGAGTCAGTCTTGGGTCTTAAATTCTGATTCTGGAAAAATGCCTGCCTTATATTCCATGTTCCATCTGAAGAGTCAAGACAGGCAGGATTTAATCTGTGGCTACGATTTTCTTCATGTAATGGGAATGGGACTAGCAATGCTTTCTCCAAGCTCAGTCACATTGTGGTTTGATTTCCCAAATTTTAGCTGTCCAGTGGATTGGAATAAGGAAAGGAAATAAATTTGTATTGTAAATAATTGTTTTAGTTTATAGGATGATGTTCAAACCCTAGTTCCAGAAACTTCTAGCAAGAGAAACCATATAAGGAACCTCAAAGATGTGCTGCCAGAACTACCTAGAAATGATAAGGGCATCCAGATTCATGCTGATAAGAGGGATGAAGAGAAGATCTGTAGATGTTTAAATTCTGAAGGATGAAGCTAAGTTGCTAGATCTGGAAGGTGTCCTGGTTTGGAAATTAAGAATGATGAAAACTTTCTGTGACAATGTATTGTTCTGTCACATGGAGTAATAATAGCTGCAGACTTCATTCTTATTGCCCTCCCAACTTCTCTAATTAACCTTTAAAAAATAGGTCTGTAGGCTGGTGGTTAAAATTACTGGTTTCTGGTTCAAGAACATGGTAGACACACGGTAACCTTTAGCTTCTGTTATACCCAGCTTAACCACTTACAGAGAATTTTCTAGGAGTGCCCCAAAGTCAAATGGTTTCTTGCATTGTGGAGCATCTTGAACAAAGTGATGTAAATTCGTAGGAAAATCACTTACTCCTTATCCAAGTCCATCTATCTCTACTGCCCTGCAAACTCTCATTTTAGAGAATATGAAGCTGGAAATCTGAGAGAAGCTCCAGGATGCCTAAAGTCAGACAGTTTAATACCCATGATGCAGATGGGGCAAGGATGAGGCAGAGAATTTAAGTGGCAGAAAAACCTCTTCTCTGAGCCTCGGTTTTCTCATCTTCGAATGGGACTAACTCTATATGCTTTGCAGGATTGCTGTTAGCAATCAGATGAGATGCTACACATAAAACTTAGTGCAGTGCTTAAGTGATTTAATTAGCAACAACTAATGTGTGTGTGTAAATAGATCAATATTATACCTTTCTAAGAGTTTTCTAAAAACTATGAAAGAATCTGACAAAATTGCACAGATCAAAATTTTATTGTACCAGCTATTTATTTCTATCACTGCACTATTTATCTTTTTCTAGACAGATAGATAGATAGACAGTGGATAGATAGATAATGATGACATGGATATGATGGAAAGAGAGAGAGGATGGATAGAGAGAGAGATGGATAGGTAAATAGATAATGATGACATGAATATGATAGAAAGAGAAAAACAGAGAGAGGTATGGATGTATGGATAGATAGATATAACAGATATGACAGAGAGATAGAGAAAGAGATGGGTGGATGAAGATATATATATATATATATATATATATGTGATCTTGTCATTTGTTCCCTTGATACAATAAATAAACATATTAAGTATGCTAAATCCATACATGTTCAAACAACATTGACTCCATTAAGTGCGTTAAATAGATTAAATGAAAGAAAACAGGCAGATGAACTATGAGTTCCTTCCATTGGCCTCTCCTGTTCTTACCCTGCTACAGGGCTGCAGTTGGACTAAAATAGTTGTATTTACTGAGTCTAGATGGTTCTCACCGCCTTCCTTCCCTTCCTACTGTCTGTTCCACTCTTGCTTCTCCTAGCATCTCCTGTCTTGGCTATAGGAGGCTGCTTTCTCAGCTTGACCCCTTGGGGCTTTCCAGAACCTTTTTACTTAAACATATATTGACCTAGGCCTTACTTCCTTGGGTGAATTATGCCACAGGCAGCAATCTCCGGGCCATAAATTAACCTGCAACCCCATGCAGCTGTCTGCTAATGATGTGGATGGTGAAACTGTGTCTTTGCTGAACTGGATGAACAAGGGCTCTCTAAATTTTGTCAGCTGACAGCTCCCTCTCTCCTCCTCACCTGGCTGGCTTTTCTATGACTCTTTGTCTGGTATCATCTTTAACTTGTCTCCTGCATTCATGGCAAAGATAAAAGGACTCCATCAGCTTCCAGGAAGCCAAGGAAAGAGAAGGAGCTTGATTTCATTACCTGATACATAGTAGGTGTTCTGCACATATTGGCAAGTGATTGGCGACTAGAAAGAGCACAGCATGATGTCTGCTATGATTGCTGCTATTATTCTTATTCATCTCAGCGCTCCTTAGAGCCAAGCCAGAGCCTCGTTCAGACTGATTTCTCCAGGCTCTACAAGAGTGCCTGTCATGCAAAAGGAGGAATGGAGAGATGCTGGGTTAATTCCAGGGATCAGAATTTCCTCCTTTATGGATCACTCTTCTTTCTTCACCAGCATTTTTGCTTTGTAACCTTCTGTCAAAATGCTTAGCTGGGCTGAGTTGGGTTCACGGGCTCAGATAAACATATTGACTCAATATCTCTCTCCCCTTTCTTTTGCACTTTGAATGAATTCCTTTATATCCATCTTATCTCCTCCCTCCAGGAGATCAACAGAGAATAACTTTTTATGAGTTTGAGTTGATGAATTTGTAAAATATTAATTAGCATCATGAAAGAAATTTAGGGTTAGTAATTCACCAAGAAGCTAGCCCTCTTGGTCCCATCTCCCTGAAATATCAAGTATCTGGAAGACCCCCAACTCAAGACCCACAAAACTTCCCATCAAACAGAATGATAATGATCTCAGAGCCACACATTTATGGCATCTGTAATTAACAGAGCACTCTCCTTTCTTTTAGCTTGGTTGTGCTTTCTGATTAAGTCTGTGCATTGGCAGGACAGGTGTTACGACAAACCCGTTTGTCAGATGAAAAAACTGGGGCCTGTGTTCATAAAGTAGCTCTTCTCCTGAAGGTCTCTTTACTGGGACAGCATCTGAAGAAGCAGGAAATCATGTGCAAAAATGGTACTCACCAACAGAGCTATTACTACCACTAATACATATGCTAAACATATTACATCCATTAACTCATGTAATTCTCACGGCAACTGTATGAGACGTGGGCTAGAGCCATCTTCATTGTACAGAGGAGAAATTGAGGGCCATAAAGGTTGAGTAATTTGACTAAGGTACGAAGAAACAGTGATAGCAAGGATTCCAACTCAGGTCTGTCTAACTCCAGAACAGCATGTGTAACTATTGTCCTGTTCTGAGTGGCAGTAGTTGTGCTTGGAAGCATTATTAATCTGAATCCACAAACCCTCTGAGAAATCCAGGGATTGGCTTCAGAGGGCTTGTGAGCTCTTTGAAATTGCATTCACAGATTTCACTGTTTGTGCACAATTTAAAAACAGAGAGAGTGTCTATAGCTATCAACAGATTATGATGGGGGTCCATGACACCAAAATTAGGGACGAAAGTTTAGGCCCAGAGTTAGATCATGAGTAGTAAAAGCATCTGACAACCTCAGAACCATCCAGCTGATTAAACTGTTTATACTCTGCCGCCAGATGCAGAGTTCTTTTCTTTTTGGTTCTTACCCCCCTGGCAATTGACTTTGGATAAAACTGAAAAAGTGAAGGAGCCATCTAAAGCTGTAAATATTATAGGAAGCAAGAAGCTGAGCGAGTGGGGCCAGCATTCCTGAGGCCTGGAAGAGCAGGAATGGCCCAGCTTGCCCAAGGATCAAAGGAAAGAGGCAAACCCTTCATCACCAGGTTTCCACATCAGCACCATTTAGGGCAGGAAGATGTCAAGGGGGAAGGCTTTCTTTGAAGTGTCAAGATAAGAACCGTCTCCACCTCCCTTTAGTGTGAAAGTCATTCCTCCAGGAGCCAGGGGAGGGTGTGAGGCATTTGGCTGTCTATACGAGGGCTGGAAGGAACTTATCAACTGAGGCAGACACCTTCTTGGCTCCAGGCTATGTCTGGACTCGGCCACAGATCTCCAGTGGACATAAAGCCTTAAAATATATGAAACGCTGAGCCACAGTACCTTGGTGTTCTGTCTCGGGTTGTGGATAAACTGGCTTTAGAGTTGAATAGTGGAGTGGACAGGGCCTGCATTCACATCAACTGGGTACACCTTGTTCCTTCTGGCTGGGCAAGTTGAGGCAAGTTACTTAGCCTCTCTGAATCTCAGTTCCAATGGGAATTATAGTCATAGCCCCTGTATCTAGAGTTTATTTGAAAATCAAATGAGATTATGCACACTATTTCCTTTCCACAATATCTGTTGCACAGAAACATTTAAAAAAATTTAATATCTGACTTAATATATCTGGTCTAACTGAACTTTAGAATCAAAAAGTCAGATGATGTGACATTCTTTTCACAAATATTACTTTTATCCCGTTTTAAGTGGTTTGAGTTGAAGGGTAAGATCCTGCGTTTCTTCCTTTTCCAACACAGGCATGATACAGTAGCTGAGAGCAGATTGCTGGCATTTGAAACCTGGCTTTACCACTTAATACCTGTACAAACTTTGGGATGGAAAAGTTATTTAGCTTCTCTGTGCCCTTGTTTTCTCATCTGCAAAATGAGGATGTTTTTACAAACGTTGATTATCAGAATTAACTAATTTATCCTAGTAACAGTTAGAACAGTGCTTGGCACATAGGAAGCACTTAATAAGTGTGAGTTTTAGTTTGTAAGCCCCTGCTACCAGCGTCCGTAGCTACCAATAACTATTTGTTAAAGAGAATTTATTGAGAAACTGGAGTGTACCCAACATTAGGTACCAGGATTTAGAAGCATCCATCGGCCTTGTCCCTAAAATGCTTACATTTTAATAGAAGGAATGATATACAGCCATCCAGTTGCTCATTCAATCAAAAACTTCAAGGCTTAAATTAGGCTGGACATTTATTCCCTCTATTATAGGATAGTTTGGATGTTTCAAGCTGTGGTGTTCATGGGGATTCTTTTCTCTGCCGGCAACACCCTTGGACACTTGCTCTACCCTTCTTTTTCAATATCGTTTAGCTTGAATGCCACTTATTCCAGGAAGCCCTCCCTGATTTTGGATTAAGTTAGTTCTCCCTATCTTTTTTTTTTTTTTTTTTTTTTTTTTTTTTTTTAGATGGAGTCTTGCTACATATCCCAGGCTGGAGTGCAGTGGCATGATCTCGGCTCACTGCAACCTCCGTCTCCTGGGTTCAAGCGATTCTCCTGCCTCAGCCTCCCAAGTAGCTGGGACCACAGGCACGTGCCAACATGCCCGGCTACTTTTTTGTATTTTTAGTAGAGACGGGGTTTCACCATGTTAGCCAGGATGGTCCCGATCTCCTGACCTCGTGATCTGCCTCCTCGGCCTCCCAAAGTGCTGGGATTATAGGCGTAAGCCTCCGCGCCCAGCCTAGTTCTCCCTATCTTATGCCCCATACACCCTACTTCCTCTATCATGTTTGAATGATTGGATTAATGTCTGATTTCATTATTCTTTAAATTCATAAAGATAGGCTCTAAATATGCCTTTCTTTTGCTACATCTCCAGCATCTCATGTGGTGCCTGGCACATACAGGTATTGAAAATATATTTGTGAATGGACAAATAAAAGAGGGAATTTCTGGGTGTAGATTTCCTCTGTTGGAAAGTATTCTTAATTTTCCCAGGCCATCCCAATGGCAAGTGATATTTCCACATTGCAAAGCTGAGCGGCAGTGAGTTCTGAAACTTTCAGAGCTCACAAGATCCTCTGTGGCAGTCAGTCTAGGCTAGCTGTTTTTCAGATGAAGAAACTGAGTCCAGAGGTAAGGGGATGCATCCAACTGACCTAATGTGCAGACCTGGGACTGCAACTCAGAACTTTTAACTCCTAGAATCTTCCACAAGACAAAAGGAGTGGAATTCCCTCACTAAAATTGATAATTCCTTTAGTGTAGAATAATTGGGACTTGCCAGTTAGAGATGGAGGTGACTGAGGCAGTTATTTGCAACAAAGTAGCTTTCTCATTAGAGGTAAGTATTGGGGTATAGTAAGAAAAGAAAATTAAATAAAAACATGGGTTCAAGAAAACAAGGGCTCAATTCTTGTATTATCTCAGAATACCCACAATGTCTTCATTTCTAAGTGGGTGTGATGATGCTTTATTAAGGGAATTTTATATTTCACATGAAGCAATGCCTGTGTGGCATAGTAAAGAGTGTGAGAGGCTGGCTCTGTGGTGGCTTGTGCCTGTAATCCCAGTGCTTTGGGAGGCCAAGTTAGGAGGATTGCTTCAGGCCAGAAGTTAAAGACCAGCCTGAGCAACATAATGAGATTCTGTCTCTACAAAAAAAAAAAAAAAAATTTCCCAGGCATTGTGGTGCATGCCTGTACTCAGAAGGCTGGGGCAGGAGGATTGCTTGAGCCTAGGAGTCCAAGGCTGCAATGAGCTATGATTGTACCATCGCACTCCAGCCTGGATGACAGAGCAAGACCTTGTCTCTACATCTCAAAAAAAAAAAAAAAAAAAAAAAGGAAGGAATTTGGCTGGGCTTTGTCTCTGGTTTCTAAATGGGAAACCCTAAATCTTTGGAATTTCCTGAGCAATAGGAGTCTTTGTTACTCATGAGCCTCTCAGACCATACCTGAGTTTATGGTAAGAGATGAGGTGACTCAGGATGGGGGCTGGTCAACCAGAAACACTAATCACACAGTTAGACATTTGAGGCTTCGAGACAGCCTAACCACTGGGAGGGGTGGCTGATGAAGACCAGGTTTGACCATGTGGTCCATGATTCAATCCATCATTGCTATGCAATGTAACCCCAATAAAAAATCTAGACACCAAAACTAATGGAGCTTCCTGATGACCAAAAACACTGATGTGTCAAGAGGGTGATGTACTCCGATTCCGTGGGGAGAGGCACGGAAGCTTTGTGTTCGGGACCTTCCCAGACCTCAGCCTTATGTGTCTCTCCTTTTGGCTAGTCCTGATTTTGTATCCTTTGTAATAAAACTATAACTCTAGGTATAGTTATTTCCTGTATTCTCTGAGTCATTCTAGCAAATTATCCAGCCCCTTTCAAGAGTCATGCACTCTTGAATTTTCAGCCAGTTGGTCAGAAGTGTGAGTGGCCTGGACACCCTCAAGCTTGTGGCTAGCATCGGAAGTGAGTATAGTCTTACTGGGGAGTGTGTCCTTCACTTGTGGACTTGGTGCTAACACCAGCTGGTGGTTAGCATCAGAATTCAGTGTAGAATAGCAGAGTGTGAGATGTTTATGGTAGACTGTGGCCACACTGGTTTTGTCTTTATCACAGTTTCCTTATTTCCCTTCCTGTGATGGTCTCAGAGCCCACCTTCTCTGCTGGCAACCCACTTCATGTGACTTGACTGGGATCAACAATCCCTTCACACCTCCATCACACTAGTGGACACTTAACTGAAAGCAAATTGTTCAGACTTTCCCAGGACTTTTCTATAGGAAAGATGGTGGCTTTCAGCTGGAGAATGTGAACTGTGGTTCTCCACTGGCCACCATGCCTGTCATGTGGATGGAGTGTGCCTGAGAGTTGAAGAGAAAGGCAGCCTAGTCAATCCATGAGTCTTAGATCAAATAACACTTCAGAGGAGTATTATTCAGTTACATGAGACAATAAGTCACCATTATCTTTTTGTTGTTGTTGTTGTTGATAAAAGTAATTTGAATTGGGTTCAAAAGTAAGCTTACCATCAATGGTTCACTGGATAAAGCAAATGTGGTACATGTACACCATGGAATACTATGCAGCCATAATAAAGAATGAAATCATGTCTTTTGCAGCAACATAGATGGAGCTGGAGGCCATAATCCTAAGCGAATTAATGTAGGCACAGAAAGGCAAATACTTCCTGTTCTCTCTTATAAGACGAAGTTAAATATCAAATACACATGGACACAAAGAAGGAAACAATAGGCATCAGGGCTTACTTGAGAATGGAGGGTGAGGATTGAAAAACTTCCTATCAGATACTCTGCTCATTACCTGGGTGACAAGATTATCTGTACACCAAACCCCTGTAACACACAGTTTACCCATATAACAAACCTGCACATATAACCCTTGAGCCTAAAATAAAAGTAGGAAAGAAAAAAATAAAGTTTAAAAGTAGGCTTAAAATCCCCAAATTTTCCTTTTAATTTGTAGCACACAACAACCCACACTGCTCCCTTCAATGAATAATGTAAATGGCTACAGATTCTTCTACCTTTATGGAGAGAAGTGAGTTCTCATACCTCTATACTGGAGACTATGCTGGCCCTATTGATTTGTTTGACTGATAAAATGTGGTAAAAGGGATGTTGACTTCTGACACTTAATCAAAAGAAGCCTCGAGTTTCTTCTCAGACTTTGGAACACTCACTTTGAGGCAGGACACCACTATGTATGAAGTCTGACCACCCTGGAACTGCCATGCTAGAGAGACCACCCAGGGAACAATTGAGAGGACACGACCACCTGGCACCCAGCTGGCCTAGCCACTCCTCACCAAGGCAGACCCCTCCATGGAGATTCCAGACAATATATGAAGCAGAGACAAGTCAGCCTCACTAAATACTGCCCAAAGAACAGGCCCACAGGCAGGCTCGCAGGCCCTGAGCTCTAAGGTGGTTGGTTATGCAACAATACGTAAATGAAACAGATAGTAATATAATAATAATGGTAAACCTTTCCCCAATGGTTCTTCCTATATGCCAGGTACTCAAAGGTACCATTTCATTGCTTCATCAAAGCAACCCAGACAGCCGTGATCGTGCCACTGCACTCCAGCCTGGGTGGCAGAGCAAGACCCTGTTTCAAAAAAAAAAAAAGCAACCTAAGGAGATAGGTACTATTATTAACTGCATTTTAGAGATGAGAAAACTGAGGGTTAGGGAGACAAAATCACATGTACAAGGTCACAAAACTTTGAAGTAACAGAACCAGGACTTCAGCCACTTGGATTCCAAGGCCCAGACTCTTAACTGCCACATTCTACTGCCCCTTGATTGTGCTGTGACAGCCGTAGGCATGACCCCTTCTGGAAGTTAGCCAAATCCATGGAGCTTTTGTCTTAAACAGAGCCCTGGCAATAATCAGCACACCCCAAAGGAGAGAGTTTATTCACAATGCCGTGGACAAAGTTAAGAGGAGCTAGCAATGATGAGGAACCTTCTGGAAAATCAGAAACACACTACCTACCACCCTTATGCCTGCAAGGTCATCAGAACCTGGTGAAAGCTGAAGCTGTAGGAGAGTGAAGACAGAAGATGTGACCTGCCTTCCTTAGAGAAAAGGAGCCACTGCAAACCCACCACCTGGAGGGAAGAACGAACCCCAGCCTCTTTCCTCCCTCTCTCCACTCTCCAGTGGGTGCCTCCCTTTGGCCAAACCCAAATGGGAGCCAGCGAGAAGTGGAGCCCATTGAAGTAACCCATGCGGGTCAGTTTTGTGGGCACAGGGCAGAATGGAGAAGGCCACAGAGTGAGCCTGGGCCAACAGCAATGCATTATTCATGTCGTCCCTCTTCCCCAGACTTGGTACAGGTGGAAATTAGACATCCCAAAAGTCAGATGAAAATACATGAGATATATTGTCCTCCTGGGGTTTCTGGAGTAACTAAACCCCATATCCAACTCCATTGGTTTCTGTCACCTTTCCAGAGCTCATTTCCAAAAGGAAATAACACCTGCCCCAAAACTCCACCTGCTGTATGCAGCCACCTCTCTGAATCTCCAGCTGCCAAAGGCTGACAGTAAGTCACAGGAGCGTATTGATTTCTCAAGGGAAAGATGAGTGAAGTGAAGGCAGAACTCCTCCAGGCGCTGGATGAAAACCCTTGTGCTGGAAGGTGAATGAGGCAAGCTAGGACTGGGAGGGGGAGGTGGGATAAAATCTTGCAGCCACAGCCTTTCCCAAGGAAAGGAAAAGATCTAAAGAATCTCTTCTACACTGAACACAGTCAACAGTTAACTGAAGAACTTCTGAGATTTGCATTTGACTTCATTATATGCTTTTTGATTTCCTGGACTAAGCGGACCGCTATTAATTAGTTTTTGTTCGGGTTAATCCAGCTTTTCTTTCATTCTCCCACTAAGAGTTTAAGTTTGAAATGTCACTAACAACCTGGATAATTTAGTGCCCAAACCCTCAACGGTCAGGGAATTAAAGCTAATGAATAATACGTTCAACCAATTTAATTCTAGAAGCAGCTCATTAACATATCGAAAGACTTTAAAATGTGCACCCTCCTTGACCCTAAAATTTCCTAACAAATGTTTTTTTCTAAAGAAATGATTATGAATGCGTACAGATATTCATTTAAAATGGTGTTCACTGAATTATTGTTCAGGTTTGCAAAGACTGGGAACAATCTAATATTTAAAAAAATAAAATAATAATAATAATAATAATGGCAATAATAACAGCCAAAATAATTATCATGTCAAATATTTAGTGTTTCCCATGTACCAAGCACTATTTTAAGCACTTTACTTAAATTAGCTTATTTCATACCGAAAATAATCCTATGAGTTTGATGCTGTTATTTTGACCAATTTAGAGCTAACAAAACTGAAGCGCAGAAAGGTTAAGCAACTTGCTCAAAGTTACACACAGCCTGCACATGGAGCCATGCAGGCTCATGCATAACTTTTGCCAGGGCCAAGACAAGGGAACAAATGAAAAGTCTTCAGACCATTTGAAAAGTCATAAATCAGGCCGGGCGCGGTGGCTGACGCCTGTAATCCCAGCACTTTGGGAGGCCGAGGCGGGTGGATCACGAGGTCAGGAGATTGAGACCATCCTGGCCAACACGGTGAAACCCTGTCTCTACTAAAAACACAAAAAATTAGCTGGGCATGGTGGCAGGCACCTGTAGTCCCAGCTGCTCGGGAGGCTGAGGCAGGAGAATGGTGTGAACCTGGGAGGCGGAGCTTGCAGTGAGCCAAGATTGCGCCACTGCACTCCAGCCTGGGTGACAAAGCAAGACTCTGTCTCGAAAAAAAATCTAAAAAAAATTTAAAAAGTCATAAATCAAGCTAATTAACTGTCAAATAATATTTTTTCCATTGTCTCATCTGAATAAATATGCTTTTGTAATGACTTGAGAGGCCAGGACTGAATGTTGAGTCCTCAGACTCCTTGACTCACTCTACCCGGATGTGGGGGTGTGGAGAGAACCAGCCCATGGCCAACAACTGGCCCCTTTCTTTTCCCACCCCCAGTTTCATCCCACGCTGTCAGAAGACACATGCAGATGTGTGTGGACATGCCAACAAGCACATTGAAGCTCCATTGAGACCCCTCCACCTAAACAGTGGCCTCCTCACCTCCCCTTAGGTCTGAGGGTACATACACCGGAAATCTCATCATCCTCAGGGAGCCCAGAGAAAAGCCAGGACCAACCCTAGATGCAGATTTAGGGCTGCAAAAGCAGGAAATTATTGTGTCCCAGGTATCTGGAATGTGATTTAGAAGAGGGCATGGGTTCTTAAAAAAAGGTGCATGTCTGGCTGGGCACGGTGGCTCCTGCCTGTAATCCCAACACTTTGGGAGGCCCGAGGTGGGTGGATCACGAGGGTAGGAGATGAAGACCATCCTGGCCAACATGGTGAAACCCTGTCTCCACTAAAAATCCAAAAATTAGCTGGGTGTGGTGGCACACGCTTGTAATCCCAGCTACTTGGGAGGCTGAGACAGGAAAATCACTTGAACCCGGGAGGCGGAGGTGGCAGTGAGCCGAGATTGTGCCACTGCACTCCAGCCTGGCGACAGAGTAGGATTCCAGAAAAAAAAAACAAAGAATTCGTGTCCTCACCCTACAGACTTCTCACCTCATGGGAAGAGATGGGGCAGGAGGAGGGCCAGAGTGGCATACTGATATCTCAAGGGAAATCAGTAAACACTGGAGCATGGGTCCATCCAAAGCAGGGATTCCTTTTACCCAGGTCTAAGAATGGTGTTGAAACTGGCATTTGAACCCAAATGAAACCTTGTGCTCATAGCCATTACACTAGAGTGCCCCTCAAACTGAGATTGCTTTAACAAATTGAAGTACATCTATAAAATAGAATACTGTTCCACCATTAAAGAGTGTATACATAACCATGGAAAGTTATTCTTAAAATCTTACAGGTGGTAGGAAAACCGGACATAAAATAGTAAATACACTGTGATACTTCTGTGGAAAAAATGAATGCTTGCTACATATGTAGAAAAACCACAAAAATAATACACAAAAATATTAACATATATTAGTAATGGTCGGATTTGGGATAATTTTTATTTTTATTCTCATTCTTTATCTGTATTTTCTGGGTTTTTTTAAAAGAATGTGAACTGCTGATTATTAAAGCAAAACACAACGTAAGTTGTATTTAATAAGAACAGTTCTTGCCCCCCAGATTACAAAAGGCCATATTGGAACCCACAGGAATGCTATAGACTGAAGGTTTGTGTCCACCTCCAGAATTCATACGTTGAAATCCTAACCCTCAAGGTGATGGTATGAGGAGGAGGGGCCTTTGTGGGTGATTAGGTCATGAAAGCAGAGCACTCATGAATGGGATTAGTGCTTTTATAAGGAGACCTCAGGGAGCTCCCTTGCCCCTTCTGCTGTTTGAGGACGGGGTGAGAAGATGCCATATATGAGTCAAGAAGTGGGCCCTCACCAAACACTGAGTTTGCTGTCATGTTGATCTTGTACATTCTCACCTCCAGAACCGTGAGAGATCAATGTCCATTGCCTATAAGCCACTCAGCTTAAGGGATTTTTGTGTGAGAAGCCCGAACACACTAAGACAAGGAGATACCAAGATGAGAGAGATCAGAGTGGTGAAGCCGATTACAAAGCTGTCTGTTCATGTCATTTCCTCTTCCGGTACACACAGGAAGTCTATGTTTACCAGCTTCCCTTGCAGTTAGGTAGGAGCCAATGGAAGGTGAGCGGAAGTGATGTAAGCCGTTTTCATACCTAGCCCCTAAAAAGATTGCCTGTGGCTCTCTCATTCTCTCTTCTCCTGGCATGATCTCAGAGGCCCTGTGTTCCAGAAGTCATAGCTATGAAATGGTGAATGGATGCCAAGTTTACATTATCACTGAATGAGCAGAGTGACTAACCATCCTGGTTTGCATGTTCAGAATGGAGGGAGTCCCTGGGTCTCAGGATTTTCAATGCTAAAACCAGGAAAACTAGGGCAAGTTGGTTAATTAAATGAACAAGAAATAAAATTTTATTCTCTTAAGTCTCAGAGATTTTTAGATTAGCCTGATACAGCAACAAAGCTTAGCCTTTCCAAACAATTACACAAAAAAGCTCAGGTCCTAAAGGCTGAAAGTTACAGCCTAATGCTTAGTTCAGCACTCTATGTATCCTTGTGACCGTTAACAGTTGACATTAGCTCTCCAGGCAACCATTCTGTGATTCATACAAAAGAGATGACAATTAAACCTACCCCATGGTGTCACTGGCAGAATTAAATAAAATGTAGATTTTGTGAAAATTCTTTGTAGCTATAAATCCCTGTGCAAATGTGAGTTTTTATCGTTGTTAAGACATAAAATCAGAATCTAGTTAAAAAAATACTTGCATATAGATAATTTAAAAGGCACACAATTGATACTAGAATGGTGATGTACATTAATTATTGGAAGTAGAGAAAAGGGAGAGATTAATTCTAATGGGAGGTAGGAAAATTCAGAGTTGGAGAAGCTTCTTAGAAGAGACAGCAGTTTGGAAGTTTTAAGATCTAGGACACCATGTTTATTGCAGCACTATACACAATACCCAAGATATGGAATCAACCTAAATGTCCAACAATGGATGAATGGATAAAGGAAATATGGTATACATACACAATGGAATACTATTCGGCCATAAAAAAGAATAAAAGAATAAAATCCTGTCATTCGTGACAACATGGGTGAACCTGGATGACATCTTGTTAAGTGAAATAAACCAGACACAGAAAGGCTAATATACATGATCTCACTCATATGTGGAATCTAAAAAAGTTGACCTCATAGAAGTAGTACATAGAATAGGGGTTACCTAAGACTGGGGAAAGTAGAGGGAAAGGGGATAGGGAGAAGTTGGTTAACCTGTACAAAAGGAATAATAAGTGATAGGATGGATATGCTCAGTACCCTGATTTGATCATTACACAATGTATACACGTGTCATGACATCACATTGTATCCCATAAATATGTACAATTGTTATATGCCAATTTTGGAAAATAAAAATGAAAAGACACAGGGTAGGATTTAGAAGGAAAGGAATTGCTGGTGGAAGAGTCAAGTGCTTCCTGAATTTCAGTTGTGTGCTGACTATGTATAATGTGGATCTGGATTAAATTCTGGAGATAAGTTGATGAATAAGGCATAGTTTCTGTCCCCAAGAGATGAAAAAAAAATATGTGGATGGATAGATGGATAATAGTAAGATGATATATAGACAGATGGATATTTAATGTAGTAGATTCTTTCCCATGGTATTGGCCACTTAGCATCATTTGGAAAATTTTCCTCTATTTAGAGAATTTCCCACACATGAGCTCTATCTTGCCAAAAGGCAAGTTAGATTCATTTTTCCAGCCTCTCTTCCAGTTATGTATTTAGCCTAGGCTCCACCATTCAGACACTCCCAGCATAAAAATAGGCTTGCATAGTTATCTATCATCTGGTATGGTGGAGATAAAGGTGTCCAGATTTTATGGTGAGCAATCTTTATATCTGGTTCCCAGTGTCACTGGTGAGAACTGCAATGTTCACATGAGCTGCGATGTTGGTGCCAAGAAAGGAATGGCAGTTTTTACTGGGGCAGTCATCATAGTGTGTGCTTTAGATATTATTCTTGATTCCGTACACTATAAGCTTGACTCTACAGGCCTCCTAGGGATTCTGTGAGTCACTCCATATCTTTTAACAAATATATATTTGAATTAAACCAGCTAAATTGGGCTTTGTGGTTTGCAGCCAAGAATGCTAATTAGACCAACAGATAGAAGAGTAGTTAGATAGATGATACATAGCTAGATGACAGATAGGTAGAATATATATATATGAATAGGTAGATAATAGGTGATAGATGATAGATATATAGATAGATAGATAGATAGATATATAGATAGATAGATAGATAGATAGATAGATAGATAGATAGATAGATTTTGCACAAAATATAAAATAATCACCTGAAGGCACTAGAGAGTGACTGAGAGCAGGTAGATTCTAGAAAAGAGTTGATACTGGGAAGGAAAGAACTGCACTGAGTGAGCTTCCTATTTTCATTGCTTCTATTCTAGTCTGAGAGCAGGCACCAATTGCACCAGTCCAGAAAGGAAAGAGCCAGAGAGGGAGTCCTCCAGATTGTGTATGTAAACTCTACTCACATCTCTGGTTGGCTCCTGAACCATACACACATGGGTGGACTCCAAGAAGTCTAGCAAAGGCTAAAAGAACTGTACAGAGAATTGAGTTTCTGCCTACCAAAGGAGAGAGAGTACTTGCACTCCAAATTCAACTAAGTTAAATAGTTGCTAAAACCAAAGACCTGTCTATGTATGTATGTATGCATGTATGTATGTATGTATGTATGTATCTATCTATCTATCTATCTATCTATCTATCTATCTATCTATCTATCTATCTATCTTCTATCTATCTATCTATCTATCTATCTATTATCTATGTTATCTATGTTATCTATCTATCTACCTACCTACCTGACTACCTATACATCTGTCCATCTGTTCTCTTCAAGGGAATGTAATAGACTTTGGAGTTTCTAGAACATGACACTCACCACATTCAGGATATAATCCAAAACCCCTCCAAAGACAAATGAGCAGTTTGACCTGAGAGAAGCCTTGAGTCATTCATTTATTTCAAAAATATCTGTTAGGCTCCTCCTATATATCAAGCATGCTAGAAGCTTAGGATACAATTATAAACCCAGATTCATTCACTCCTTAACAGATGTTTGCCAAGCTCCTACTGCATGTCAGCTACTCTACTAGACTGGGAATATTGTGACTAAGTATCAAGGTAAGCACCTTACCCTCATAAGGCTTTTATTTTTGAAGGAAAGGCATTCATGAAGCACATACTTACCAATTAATACTGATTGGGATTAGTATTATGAAGAAGTTCAGGAGATGGAATGATCCAGCAGACTGCTCTGCCAGGATCCCCAGGGAGTGTGGAAGACTTGTTCCATCTTGTTAGCGCTTGAACGGAGACAATTGTGCTACACATATTTTGGCCTTTTACTCCTTAGTAGTTATCCAAAGGCCCTGGAGCTTTCACATTTGTGCCTTTCACACATTCCTTTGTATTAAGATTTTTTTTCTTAAAGAAGAAAAGCAAAGAAGCAGGAAATACATACAAACACACATATACACAGACCCCACACAAACCTTTTTCTTCCAATAATTACATAACTGTGAGAAACCATTCCAAGACATGCCACATAACTCTACCAAACCTACACACGTCTTGAAGCTTTGTTGGCAAGTGGGTCTATGCCAACAGTACATAAAATCCTTCATGGCTGAGTGTCCCTACAATTTAAATTCATATACAAATGTCTGGATCCCTGAAACCAACTAAACCAACTCAACAGAAGCCGCAAGCTTAGACATCAGCTCTCTCAAACAATTACAGATTGGAAATCCTCATTGGAAAAGTAGAGTCATTGCTGAGGAGGGAAAGAGGGAATTATGGTGAGAGGGATCTGGGGGCAGGGGTGGGAAAACAAGAGGTGTAAACTCCAGGCATGAAGATTGCTTAGGGGAGAGAGGGATTATTCAAAGGAAATTGCACCGGAAAATGTAACCTTGAGTAGGTGGCTGATGGCAAAATCAGTTTTTAGCGTGGGCAAGCCGCTAGACTCAAGAGGCAGAGGGAGTATGAAAAAATGTACTGCGAGTCAGAGACTGCAAGTGCCATGCCAGACCTCTTGGGTGGTAGACCAGGGGCATAAGGTATAAAAAGTGGAACAGAAACAGAAAAGAGGTTTGGAGAAGGGAGGGAAGCCCAGTTGGAGAGCAGGCGAAAGGAAATGCCTTTCTTCATGTAAAGGGAACAGCAGGCTGTTTTGGGGGAACCGGTCGACTTTGTCTTTCTCCACCGCACCTTCCTTAAATTGTAAGGATTACAAGAAGCTACCATAAGAATGAAAGAGGAAAATTTTTCACCAAAAGCAAAAAAAGATTGTACTTTGTGTACCCTTCCTCCCAACCCATTCGATGGAAGGAACAACAAGCTCAGAGATTTGCTCAGAAACTCTCTGGCTTTCAGACAACCAACACAGAAAGTGGAAGTGAGATTGCTGATCAAAGATAAAACTAGAGAGAGCTTACAGAAGATCAAAGAAAGTGAATACTAGAATTCCATGTGGAGATCCAGAAGCCACTGGGTATTGACCAAAAGTCTCTGCATAGTTTTAAACTCCTGAATCCACTGTCCCCTGACAAGACCTCTGACCCACCTGCTGAGATGTGTAAAAGACAGCATGGGTTAGTGCTGCCAGCCATCCTGTGTTCAGAATATCGGAGCCTGGGTCCTCAGCCTCTGCCTCTGGGATTTAAGTCAGATTTGCCAGACACTGGGGGTTTTGGGTGGGGTGGAGGGCACTGGGAAATTAGATTCCAAGCCTGTCCTACAGGGACTCCTGTCTAATTGGACGGAGAGAACAATGAACATATAGAGATGCTGGGAGGAGAAGATTATTCTTTTCCTTCCAACTTGACTCACGCCTCAATAAATTTTTCTGCTGAGTGTGGAAAGAAAGGTAACAGGTTTGTTTTTTGAAATCACCCTTTCAATAAGCTGAATAATAGCTAATAATAACAGCACCAGTAATACTTAACATAAAGGCACAGACCAGTATTTATAGTACACTATCGTGCACATAAAAAGAGGGGAAAATAGTCCATTTAAGTATTTCCTTGTGTGAACATAAAACATTTCTAGAAGGATAAATAAGAAACTAACATAACTGATTATCTCAAGGAAGATGGGAACTGGGTGGTTAGAGGCCTAGGGGCCAGGATTGAGAGTTTTGTTTTTTTTGTTTTTGTTTTTGTTTGTTTTTTGTATTTGTATTCTCCTTTCTGCCTTATGAACCACGTGAATGTTTTGCCCATTCAAAAAAAGTCTTTAAAGCAGTTTTCAAGAATACAACACATTGTTATTAACTACAATCACCATGTTGCACAATAGATCACCTGAACTTAATCATCTTGCTTAAAACAAACTTTCTACCCTTTGACCAACAGCTCCCATTCCCTTCCCTAACCCCAGCCTCTGGTAACCACCATTCTACTCTCTACTTCCAGGAGTTCAACTTTTTTAGATCTCACATGTCAGTGAGATTATGCAGTATTTTTCTTTCTGAGACTGGCTTATTTCAGTTAACACAATGTCTCCCACGTTCATCCATGTCATTACAAATGACAGGATTTCCTTCTTTTTTTAAGGCTGAATGATGTAAAAGTAATTTTTTTCTTTATTTCTTCTAAAAGAAAAAACTGGATATACGTGCAGAACGTGCAGGTTTGTTACATAGGTATACGTGTGCCATGGTGGTTTGCTGCACCTATTGACCTGTCCTCTAGGTTTCCTTCCCTCACCCCCCACCCCCTAACAGGCCATGGTGTGTGTTGTTCCCCTCTCTGTGTCCATGTGGTCTCAATGTTCAACTCCGACTTGTGAGTGAGAATATATAGTGTTTGGTTTTCTGTTCCTGTGTTAGTTTGCTGAGGACGATGGCTTCCAGCTTCATCCATGTCCCTGCAAAGAAGATGATCTCCTTCCTTTTTATGGCTGCATAGTATTCCATGGTGTATATGTACCACAAAAAATAATTTTTAAAATGTGTTAATATTTAGCACAGGCCTACTGTGTGCCTGGCTCAGGGCCCAAAATGAGGGTTAGGTGTGAATCATACAAAATCACTGTAAATATCTGATAGGCTGGCAAGGGAGGCAGCAGGTGCACCATTAGCCATGCAGCACAGTGCAGGGAAGCAGTGTGCAGGGAGGCTGCTAGGCAGAGTGGCTGACAGAGAAGTTGGCAGACAGAAGTTCAAGTCGAAAGACTGGGAGTCAAGTCCTAGTTCATTCACTTCCTTCAGTTGTGAGCTTGAGTAAGTTATTAGGCCTCTCCAGACTCAGTTTTCTTGCATACAATGTGAGAATAATAATGGTGAGGAAGAAAAAGAAAAAGGAGAAGGAGGAGAAGGGGGAAGAAGAACAGGAGGAGGAAGAGAAGAAGAGGAGGAGAAAGAAGAAAACGGGAAGACAATGGTGTGGATGATGATGATAGCAGTGATGGTAAAGATAATGATGATGGTAACAGTCTCAATAAATGGTTGTGGGGATTAAATGAGATAATGTGTATAAAGTGCTCAGCACACGATTTGATACAAGGTTACCAAATCATCCAAGATAATGATTAATAAGTTTAATAGTAGTAGTTATGGTAGTTGTCTCAATCTCTTTGGGATGCTATAGCACAATAACATCAACTGAACTGCTTATAAATAACAGAAATTTATTTCTTATGGTTCTGGAGAATGGAAAGTCTAAGATCAAAGCACCAGCACATTCCATGTCTGGGGAGATCCTGCTTCTTCACAGATGTCTGAATTCTCAATGTAACCTCACACAGCAGAAGGGGCTGGGGAGCTCTCTGGGGCCCTTCTTATAAGGACACTAATCTCATTCATGAGTGTTCCACCCTCATGACCTAATCACCTTCCAAAGGCCCCTCCTCGCCATACCATTCCACTGGAGATTAGAATTTCAACATATGAATTTTGGGAGTCATAAACATTCAGTCCATTGCAATCATGTTACTGAAGAAAGATTCAAAGAGCAATTAACTGATATGGAAGATTGTGGAAAACTTCAAGGGGTTGAGGCATTTGGGCTGACTCTTTGTAGAGAAAATGATGGGCATAACGTCAGCATCTGCAACAGGACCTCAACAGACAGAACAGCTTGGGCAAAGGCTTTTAGCTAAGTGGGTGCATTTGGACTCTCTGTTGCGTTAGGTCCATATAGTGAAGTTGTAAATCAGATGACAGGAGAAGCAGGGGAAGAGAGGGAGATTTCAACTGGAAATGCCAGATCCATGACACCTTAGAAGTTATGATATTTTCTTGCCTTTCTGTCTCTCCATCTTAACACCTGGACACCGTCTTGTCAAATCAAATCCATCCACACTTTGGTGGAATATTTCATGTAAGCTCACTCACTCTGCAGAAAGCAGACATAAGGACAAGAGTCATGTTATGTTTATTTTTTTGTTCATAATAATAACAGGTGAGATAATCAACTATTTGCATTGTTTATGCCATGATTGGTCAAGCTTTATGCTACTTTTATCAAATGCATCTTGGTAGATAAAAGTCATAGTATTAGTTCAGCTGTATTATCTTTGTTTTATCTTAGGGGTAAAGATACTTCTGTGGTAGTACTTGCTCCAAAATACTGGGCTACAATAAAAATTGAATATTGACTATATTATGTTGGGATAACATTTTAGTATTGGTGGTTATCACTCTGATAGTTACTGGATATTTTAGGAATGCAAGTCTAAAATATAAATTTCTTGTTATTGTTTCAAGCATTTAGATAAAGTTGATTGGAGAGTATCCTGAGATTCTAAAGCGTCCTCTTTATAAAGTGTTACCATTTGAAGTTACTAAATGTCCCTTAATCTACAGTGTCCTGATATTGTGACAATTGAGGACTATACAATAAGATGTTGGATGAAGTTATACCAGACTCTAGATATCACAGATAATACCTGATTTTGTGTTTTTGTGCTCATTGCAACAGCCCCATTTTCCCAATGTCTAATTTTATGTTTGATACATATTAACATTTTAAATGGGAGAAAATATTTACAAACCATTGATATCCAAAATATATTTTAAAAACCTCCTACAACTCAACAGCAAAAAACTACAAATAAACCAGTTTACAAAATGGGCAATGGAGCTGAATAGACATTTCTCCAAAGAGAGAGTTTTCAAAGTAATTTATCAGCATGAACAAGACAGATGTTCACAAAAGCATGGTTCTAAACTCTTTGTTTTCACCATTGAAAAGCTGGCACTGTTCACACACACATACACACATATTTATGTATACATATATATCCATGTAAATATAAATGTGCCTGTGTACATACATTTAATATATATTTCAAAAAGTCTTCTTGGACATCAAATGACTCTTGCAAAACAACATGTTGATGAGTTAAGTGTAAATGAATCAGAAACATGTGTCTTGAATTCTCTTCAAAATACCCTAGGGTTTAAAATGAGGGGGAAAAGGTACTTGAAGGAAAAAAAAAACATTTTGGGTCTTGCTGAACCTAAATCATTTGGAAAATAGTTTAAGATGTTTGCTAAATCCAAAAAGCAGCTTTGCTCCTACCACAGGGCCATGTCAAAGTGACTCTTCAGATGAGCTTAAGCCTAATTTTAATTTCTTGCACATGTGGTAAAAACATCTTGGAGGACTCTCTTAAGCCACTGTTCAAGGGAGCGCCCAGAATTTGGGGGACTTTTGTGCATCTCATTTGCTTAACAGTGACCACAGGCCCAGCTTTCTCCCTCTTGTTGCCCGGGGCAGTGCCTTGTCTGATCTGCTTTGCCTAATGCCTGGGCCGTTGATATACCCCCAGGGGTCATCATTTCCCTGCATGCTGAAAGCTTTGGGGACTGGCTCTCTAGACCCCACTCTTACTGGTTTCCGCTGAGAGACTTGCTTATGCTTGAGAGTACACACATGAGCATTTGCAATATTGTTTCCAGGTCTTTGCAGAATTTCCTCCTTAATCTACTCCTAAGTAATCACTGCAGGATGCTCCTTATTAGCAGGCTGGGCAAATCCCCTGGAACTGGGGTCATTAGGCATAGCTTCTAGTGCTCAAAATATCCCATGGTCCTTTGGGGTATCTCTCCAGCTATACAGATTCATCCAGACAGCCCAGAAGGGAGCTAAGAAAAATTGAGAACAGGGGGTTTCCATGGTAGTAGTATCATCCCCTAAAAGGAGTGTCAGAAGCTTGTATGGAGCATACTTTAATTGTCCCAGTGATGCAGGGGTGGCACTACTAGCATTTTGCAGGCAAGGGCCAGGGATGCCAGATATCCTATAATTAAACAGGACAATCTCATACTGTGAAAAATTGCCCTGTATCCTGCAAGACTTTCATGTAGGTGAAAACACTGTTAATTATCTGAGCCCATAACCTAATCCTGTTTTATTCATTAACACAAGTCCTTTTTCCTCGGTCGCAGTGTATCCCAGATTTTCCACACATGTAACCCAAGGGAAAGTTGGACTTGACCATGTTCAGGACAAGATGGAAAAATATGTCACTCATGACAATGCCATTAACACAATTTGTGTTGCCAGCATAGCACACCCATATCCATTGGGTGCTGTATTCACAGCAGCTCTACATAAAGGTGCAACATGGGATTATTTGCTATGCCTCCTCTTTGCCTCGTTTCTCACTTGAACTGCAATTAAGGGTGTGTGTGTGTGTGTGTGTGTGTGTGTGTATAAATTATATGTATAGGCCTTATTATCTATGATTTTCATTTCAGCATAGTAAAGGGAGGTTACAAAACATGTGATACAAGAAGGAAGCATTAATTCTGATATGAGACAGGACTCTTGAATGAAAGCCATTGGTGCCAAACAATAAAGTAACATGGAACCAAAAGTTAGTAAGCCTGGGTTCTCGTTTGTGTCTACCACTTATTGTGTGATCTTGAGCAAGTCTCATTGCTTCCCTGAGTCTCAGTTTTCTCGTCTCAACCATGAGGACATCACACTTGAACACTGGGTGATAAACTTCAATTCCTCAAATATAGGGAGTGAAAAGGGCCACATATTTGCCTATTATGCCCAGAAAAATATTCTTCATTTCTATGGTGAGAGGTCTCCTCTACCAGTTTTCATAAAGAATGCAACAATTAGAGGCAATGTTTTACTTTACCTCTTTTTATAGTAATATCACCACAGATTAATTTCTTAGGACTTTGAGACTACAAGTGCAATGATACATAACAATTGAGACTTGGCTTCAATGATAAAGACACAAGAAAGAGAAATAAAAACCACAGAAAAGTATATCAACTCATCCCTATCAAAAAGGAGAAGCCATTTCTCAACTCCTACCAATGTTTGCTCAGTATCTATGCTTTCACGTTCCCAGAGCTTTGAAATATCTAAGAGAAGATGGAAATCTAAAGTTTTATGCAACATCTATGTTTAAAAATTGGTTCATCTGAAAGAAAATTAAATAATGTATCTGCCTATAAAAGCCTAACATCTATGTGTTATAATCTGCCCATGGTCCTCTAGTTAGAAATCCCTAGAAGAAATAAATTCTAAGAATGCTTTTAGCTCTGGAAATCTAGTATTCTAAATCAGGAGTCAGCAAACTTTTTCTGTTAAGGGAACAGACAGTAAATAGTTTAGATTTTGCAGGCCATAAAGTCTCTGTTGCAACTACTCAGCTCAATCCTGGCAGTGCAAAAGCAGCCACAGACAACGCTTTACACATGGGTGTGCTATGTTCCAATAAAACTTTACTTACAAAAAAAAAGATGATGAGCTGAATCTGGCCCTTTATGACCTTTGTTCTAAGTAGATCACTCTCTACATCAGCCTGCAAACAACCATTAAAAGCAAATAGTGATTAATGAATGTTTGAAGTTCTTTAGAAAACAGTTCAAGATCTGCCGGGCGCGGTGGCTCACGCCTGTAATCCCAGCACTTTGGGAGGCCGAGGGGGGCGGATCACAAGGTCAGGAGATCAAGACCATCCTTGCTAACAGGGTGAAACCCCGTCTCTACTAAAAATACAAAAAAATTAGCCGGGCGTGGCGGCGGGCGCCTGTAGTCCCAGCTACTCGGAAGGCTGAGGCAGGAGAACGACGTGGCCCAGGAGGCGGAGCTTGCACTTAGCCGAGATCGCGCCACTGCACTCCAGCCTGGGCGATAAGTGCGAGACTCTGTCTCAAAAAAAAAAAAAAAAAAAAAAGAAGAAGAAGAAAACAGTTCAAGATCTCATTTGATAACTCATTTGGGTGATCTCTCTTCATTGCACATCCAAAAGAGCAATTGCGTCAGTACCATGGCTGTCCCTTTCCTTATTTACATGTAATTTTTTAAAAGGACCAGTTTGTAATATTGAAGTCTATAAATGTGAAAAAATGATTTGTGGTATATAGTCATAATTGACGAATGGGGATGTGGGAAAGCCTGTTTTGCGTTTAGATTTCTAATATCATCTTGTTACAGTGTCTAGAATATCCCCTTTGGTTAAAGCAATGCCAGAAATCTTGTTGGGAAATGGTGAGAAATTCTGACCTCGCCAGATGCTCGGTTGCTGGATAAGTCAAAGGAGTCCGGGGAAGGAAGACTCTAAGGTGCACGGCCAGCCTGGTGTCCCAGCCCTGGGTATCAAGAGCAAGCCCCGCTCGGTTTCTCAACAGATGTGTGCCTGAGGCAAGTCATTTAACTTCTTAACTGTAAAATGAGGAATATGAGCTCATTGATTTCAAAAAGTCTACAATTGTGTAATTTCTAAAATCCCCGACCCATCCCACTGAGCCAAATGAGAATTCTAGAAAATGTTTTACAATGATAGGAGCTGATTGAACAAGCATGTATTGGATGGCTATTGCTTTTATCCTCTCGAATCCACTTTCCTTTCTTTGGGTAAAACCCCGCAGTGTTCCCTTTGAACTATCACCCTTCCCCTATTCTCAAGCCATATGGGAAATGTCAGCTGATTATCGCCTTTGGCGCTGAGAATGGGCACATGACAATTCTGACCAATCAGAGCATGCCATTTTTTTCTGGTTAGTGATTGGCTCAGGAATGAACATGTGACTTGAATTCACGCAATGAGAGTCACTTCTCAGAGGTCTGGGAGAATTATGAGTAAAGTGACTTTCTTTGTCCAGCCAAGACTGATAACCTAGAAAGATATAAACCTGGAGCTTATATGCAGCCATCTTGGCCAGTTTCAGAATGAAGCCAACTAAGAGGAAATAGAGCTGATCGAAGGATAACTATAGGTTCTGACAATATGGTTTAAGTGCCTGAGTGCAGTCATGACTAAAGCTAATTATATTTCTCCAATATTCTTCTTAAGTTTACATGAGAAATAAACTCCTTCAAAAAATGTTTACATGACTTTGAATAGGAATTTGTTTTTTTGTTGGCAACCAAAGAATAAGTGGCCAAATAGTAGGAATGTGAGTACAAACTGCTGTATATTTCCTCAGCCACCACCTTTAGCAGGGAAGAGATTTTAGGCGCCAGGATACCTTGATTCTTGTCCCAGTTCTGCGGTGCTGACGATGCGACTCTGGGCATATAGCTTATTCACACTGTGCTTCAGTTGCTTTTTCTGTCAAATAGTAAAACCTGGGTAACTTGATGAATGGCTCAGAGATGATGCCTTAATCATTTGGTTCTGAGAGATAGAAACCCACTCTAACTCAAGTAAGAAGACATTTATTGCAAAGGTCTAGAAAGCTCTCAAATCGCTTGAAGGAGGAAATATATTTGAGCCTTACAAGGGCCTGGCATTCCCTCGATCTTTTCTTTTGGGTGTTCTGGGAGTCTCCTATCCACTTTTTTTGTTTTTTTTCAGTGTCTCCTGTTTTCTTTTCTTTCTTTGTAGATGAGTATTATTTGCCCTATTAAAAATCTCCCCAGACTTGGCAGTGCTAGTCTCAGCATTAGGTGGTTCAAACCTTAGCAGTGCCCAGTCATTATCTCAGAATCTCTCATTCCAAATTCCCAGGGCAAAGAAATTGAATTGGCTTAGCCTGGGCCAGGAATCCAACATGTGGTCACAGAGGAAAGGTATGGCAGCCCCCTCTGGGACTGCAGAGGGACAAATTTTCCAAGGGAAGATTAGGTAAGAAAGAACCTCACACAATTCATTACACACAGTAGGTGCTCAATAAACATTACTATTTATTCTTACGTTTTCCTCTTCTTCATTTTACAACTCCTTCATTCTTTTATTTTTCTCCTCACCATACCCTTCCTCCTCCTTTTCTTCTTCCTCCTCCTCCTTCCCTTGCTCCTTCTTCTTCATCTTAATATTATCAATGGTATTTGTATTACTATTAGCATAACTTTCATTTCTCAAAATCTCTTCCTTAATTTTGAATGTGAAGAAATGAGAAAATAATTCGATTTCTAAGCATAAGTTTTAGAAAAGATCCTCTTTGATTCTTAATTCCATCTTTAAAATGAAGCTAATGATAACTGACCCCTCATGTTATGGAGCAGTTGGGAGAGCAGAACACAATAATGAATTTCAAAGAGTTTTGTCAATGTGAGCATTGTCGTTACTGAGAATGTCCCTCTCTGTGCCCCATCCTCTTGAAATTGCTAATAACAATATAGTATTCAGTCTGTGTTTTTCTAGTACCCACAAAAATAAGTGCCATCTTAAGACTAACTAATTTCTCCAAAAAACAATGCAGACCTCCCTTTTTTTAAACAAGATATTTTTCTCCAGTGGATTTAATTAGATCATGGTTCAGTGGACCCCAATAAGTGCCCTTGAAGACTTTGCTCTTGTCCCTTTGAAATGGCACAGTCTATAAAAACCAAAACAGAGACGTGCTCCTTATTACACTATTATTTAATCTGGATTCTCTCCAGCCTGAGCCCTTCCAGACAACAGCAGCTTCCAGTGGAGTGGGTGATGGGAGGCCGGCCTCAGAATAAACACCATGTGATTCCTGGAATTTGGAGGCTGTCTCTTTCCACTGCCCTTGCACTCTCTTCGTCGGCAGATCCTGGGTGCCGGGCAGCTTTATTACATCCTGGCGTGACCGAGGCAGCCACTTAGCTTGTCAACAGCCAGCAGCCAAGAGAGGAGTCTTCCATCAGTGCCTGACGCTTGGCCAAGTCCCCCATTGGCTGCAATGGGCCACATCCTTAGTGAGAACAGAACCTGAACAATTGGGCTTTTGTGCTGATGGTGACCTGGGTGCTGCCTGATCTGGATTAGACCGGCTAGAGCACAGGAGATGGGTGAAATGTGCTCATGTTCAGGACCCCTGTGCCAAGGGCTTTTTTAAGGAGGAAGTGTAGAGTCAGACAGACTGGGTTTGAGTGTTGTGTGACCTTGCAGCTGCCCTTACCAAGATATTGTTTTCTTTTTTGAAAAATGGACATAATATCTACTTCTCAGATTTTTCTCTAGATTATGTACAATAATGTATTTAAGCATCTGGTAGAAACCTGGGCCATATCACCAATTCAAAAATCAATAGCTGTTATTCCTATGTGTGAACTTGAGATTATAGGCAGGGCAGTAGATCCAACCCCACTTTTTTGTTTCAACGCAGTTAGAGTTTTGAACTGCACACATTAAGTATGCATATGCCAAACAAATTTAGCCAAAAGGTACTTTTAACATTTTTTAAAATTTAGAAATAGAACCTACAAATAGAAAATATGCATAAATGATCAATTTAATGATTAAATCAAGTGTGCATGCAACTATCACCTAGGTCAAGGAAAAAAAATATTACCAGCACCCAGAAGCCTTCCATGTCACTTCCCAATTACATCCACCTACATTCAACCTAGAGATGACCCCTACTATGACTTTTATGATAATTATCTTCCAGGCTTTCCTAATAAATTTTGCCACCTATCTATGTACCAATTAACAATGTAGTGTACAGTTGCATAGATTTAAACTTCATAAAATGAATCATACAGTGTGTATTATTTCTGTCTTTTTTAATCATTGTGATGTTTGAAAGATTGATCAATGCTCTCACATGTAGCTGTAGTTCATTCATTTTCATTGCTGGAGAATAGTCCACTACTCAGAACTGTGTCTTTGAAACAGTTATAAAGCAGCCTGCTAACTCCTGTGTGGTGCAGAGCCTTCGAAGATGGTCACCATGCGTTCCTCCCCATCTGTACATGCGTGCTGTCCCACTGCAATGGTGGACTCTGCCCTCCTCTCCTTGACCCCAGGATGGCCTGGTGACTTGCCTTGGCCTACACAATGTGAGAAAATGACCTTCTAAGATTTCTGGATCCGGGGCTTAATATGATTAGCAGTTTCTGCCTCTTTGAAGGCAGCATCATTTAAGAAGTTCAGTGACCTCAAGCTCACCATTCTGTGATATAAAGCCCAGGGTATCTATGAGAAAGGCCATGTGGGGAGAGAGAGCAATGCTCAAGTAGGCCCCACCTGTTCCAGCCTTCCCACCCACAGCACTGGTCATGAGAGTTTCCACATACACTTTGGACATTCCAGTCTCAGCAGTTGCCATGCTGAACAGAAGAACTGCCCATCTGAGCCCAGCCCAGCTTGCAGAACTGTGAGAAAGAATAAGTTGTAATTAATGTTTTTTCGATTGACAAATAATAATTGTACATATTCATGGGGTACATAGCATATTTCTCATCTTTTTCTGATTGACAAATTTTCTTTTTCTGGAAAATGGACATAATACCTACTTCTCAGATTTTTCTCTAGATTATGTACAATAATGTATTAAAGCATCTGGTAAAAGCCTGGGACATATCACCAATTCAAAAATCAATAGCTATTATTCCTCTGAGTGAACTTGAGATTATAGGCAGGGCGATAAATCCAACCCCTCCTTTCTGTTTCAACAGAAAATTATTTGATCAATTTTCTGATCAAAATTTTTTTGATTGACAATAATTGTACATATTCATCCTCATCTCAAACATTTATAATTTATTTGAGTTGGGAACATTCAATATCCTCTTTTCTAGCTATTTGAAATTATCTAATACTGTTACTAACTATAGTCATCCTTACCGTGCTTTAGAGCATTAGAACTTCTTCCTATCTAGCTGTGATTTTGTACCCTTTAACAAATCTCTCCAATATCCCTCCTTTCTTCCTACTTTTACCAGCCCCTAGTATCCTGTAGTCTACTTTTACTTCTATGAGATCAACTTTTTTAGCTTCCACATATGAATAAGAACACACAATGTTTAATTTTTTTGTTCCTGGCTTGTTTCACTTAACATAACATCCTCTAGTTCCATCCGTATTGCCTCAAATGACAATGATTTTATTCTTTTTTATTGCTGAATATTTAAATTGTCATTTTAAGCTCTTATATTTGGGGGTAGTTTGCAATGCAGTAAAAAGATAACTGAAAAAAAAAGTTAGTTGGGCAAAAATTTTTTCTTTCCCTTAGACCTTGCATTTTTTTTAGCAAGTTTTGCTTTTTTAATGGAATGATATCATTTACATCTTCATACATTTGAAAATGCATCTCATGCTGCCTCGTTTTTTTATCAGCCTTTCATCCCCACCTTTTAGCTATGTACTTGTATGTGTTTGTAAAAACAATACTGGGTTTACATTAACAGATGCCCCTATGAAATAAAAAGAAAAAAAAGCTGTAATTAAATGCAAAGATTTGAGGTTACATTTTATGTGTGAGCATGTGTTTAATGGATGGATAGTGTAAGTCTGCACTAGAATTGCCATGTAACCGTGTTCCCATAAAAGCATCTTTTGAGATAAAAACACTAATTTATTTTAATTAGCATACACTGGTTTACTTTTGAAAAGAGGAGTGCCATCTTACATTGACAATAGAAGGTGAGGGAAAAAAAAAAGCTTAGGTCTTGCTGCCTGGAGCTCTGTGCTCTGGAATAGTTAACAGCCTTCCTCCCAGTTTACTGCCCTGGGGTGTGGGGGAATCAGAAATAGCAACAAGCCTTTCTGCATTTGCACAAATGTAATTGCTTCTAATGCTACTTAAGTTTCGAAGAAGCCTTAGCATTTTCACTTCACTGGAGCTTTTAGGTTCATTTTTCCTTTCAAAGTCTGCATGTATCGAATGTTCTATAAAAGAATGAATACAGGGGGAGAGAGGGAAAGGAGGCTATGGAAACTAACTGCTTTAAAAAATAATAAAATTATTATAACATGGTTGATTAGTTCCCAATACAATGGACACTTTGGAAGTTCAAGGTCTTTGCAAGGAAATGGCAGAGGCTGATTAAAGCAGACAGAACTTGGTTTCAATCTGCATCCACCAGTTTCCAGCAATTGATTTTGGGGGAACAACTGATGTTTTCTGAGCTTCAGTTTTGCTAAAATCCCATAGGACTGGAGTGAAGAATCAAAGACGTAATCTATCAGTCTACCTAAGGGCTGAGTCCAATGTCTGGCAAATAATAGATCCTCAATGAATGTTGACTCCCTGCCATATGGATAATTATAGGAGATAGTTATGGAAATATTGACAGTACATCTAGAGGACAGTGGATTAGGAAACCATTTCATCAAAGAAACCAGGAAGATTCCAGAGAGTACCTATAAATGATCGTCCTCTGGATGGAGATATGTTGCATGTCTGCTGTGGCATCAACAGCACTGCCTGGGGCCTCAGGCACAATTGGATGGCATTGAGCAATCCTAGAAAAAAATTCCATTGTTTTTGTGGTTTGTTTTGACTTCTACCAGCTGGAGACAAAGGCCTGAGGGGAGGGAATGAGGTTTTAGGAACCTTAACCGAGAGAAGTTAAGCAGTAAGTCATTCATTTGGACAATAGATAGACCAACATAGACAGCATGTCTAGATTTTCTAAACATTAATTAAAACTCTCCAAAACCTAGCAAAGAAAGACACGCAGCTAAAGCTGTTATTTTCTTACCCAAGATGCAAAAGGAAGGAGGAGTTTTTGAAGAACAATATTGACTTAGCACTGAATTAGATGCTTTATATTTAATATCTCACTTAATCCCACAGAAGACCTTATTTTCTCCCACTTTTCAGATATAGAAATTGAAGCTAAAAACACTGAAACGTTCTGGACAACATCACTCAAGTAAAACATTTTCAGAGCTAAGATTTGAACCCAGGCCTAATTCTGAAACCCATGATTTTAACCCAAGAGTTGTCTTGCTTTACTGAGGTTAGTCAATGGGATCCTACTTAGAGAGATGAGATAAATTGGTGAGGGGGTAGAAAGGAGTGAAGCACCTATTCTCTAAAAGTTTATGCTATGACTAGAATACCTAGGTCAAATCTGTGCCAAAAGGAAGGGGTGCAGAGGGAGATCCAGTGAAAGGCAGGAAGACTGAATTGGTATAAGGATGGGGACCCAAGAAGAACCGTTTCAGGTGAGGTCGAGACAAGGAAGCAAGTAGCAGATTAGAAGTCCTAGAAGTTAATAGAAATTCAAGGCTTGATGTTTAAGCAGAGTCAAAGAAAATTGTTCAGGATTAAGAGCATGAGAAATTAAAGAGACCCTCTCTCTTGATGTTATACATTGAGAGGCCAAATGTGACCACAAAAAGGGCCAAATCAGAAACGAGGTGGTGGCCTCTGATTACTCCAAATGACAAACTTGTCCTGTTGAATGTCATGGTCCTGCTTTGAGATAGATGCCCAGGAAGGAAAGAGTGTAAGTCGGAAGCCCAGGAACAGAGGATCGGAAATGGATGGCTATCCACTTACAGCAAGCTGGATGAGATTGGAGACTATGATTCTAAGTGAAGTAACTCAGGAATGGAAAACCAAACATCACATCTTCTCACAAGTGGGAGCTAAGCCATGAGGATGCAAAGGCATAAGAATGACACAGTGGACTTCGGGGACTCAGGGGAAAGGGTGGGAAGGAGGTGTGGGATAAAAGACTACAAATTGGGTGCAGTGAATAGTGCTCAGGTGATGGGTGAAACAAAATCTCATAAATTACCACTAAAGAACTCACTCATGTAACCAAGCACCACTGTTCCCCAATAACCTATGGAAATAAAATAAAAAAAAATAAGTGGATGCCCATCTCCAGTTCAAATGGATTCTTCAGCAGGCATTTGTGCAACCTGAACTTTCCACTTGTCTCTTCTGGGTTCTCTTTCTCCAGCTTTCTTGCTGTCCCCTTTACACTCTTGAGGTAGTACATTCAGGTGAAAATGAATATATATGACATTAAACTCAATCTCTTTGCTGTACAAAAATTTTTCAAAGGCTTGTTATACCCCTTCCCAAAAGTGCCTGAACTCCTTGATGTGAAATGCAAAGCTCTATACAACCTGATGCAGCCAGCAACTTACCTCTTTATCCATCCCTTTACACTTCCCAATATATCCATTGTTTCCCATTTTCGGAATTCCCGAGGTCTGTTTATCACTCAAGAGACTCATCCGCACTGGATTTTTATCAAAGTATTTTTCATGTATTTGCAGCATCTCTGATACAAGTATTGAGAAGATTAGGATCACTGAAATTTACATGTTATTTCACCTGTCTGTCCCAACCCTGGCAAAGGTCTTGACAGTGAGGAGAAGTCTGCAAATTACTGAAATACACTCGAAATGAAGAAATATGTGAACAACGGTTCCTGGAATACTGAACTAGTTTGGATTTAACACCAAAATGGGTTCCAAATGAGTACCAAGAACTGATTGACAATTAGACTTCCTGAACTCTGTCTTCACATTTAAAGTGGTATCTTATCAGCTCTTTTCTTGGTTTAGTTTACTCAGATTAAGAAAAATGTTTGTTGAAAGTCATTGCATGCCAGGTTTTTTCTTCTAGGTATTGGAGATGTAAAAATGATTAACACACAGTCTTTAACTTGAAGAATCTATAGTTTAGTAAGACAGCTTAATGTGTAATAAAAATTTAAATTTAAATGTAAAGTTATATTCACTACTATTTATTAACCACTTATTGTATACATGAGGTTTCATAAGCATTATACCTTTCTATTTTCCAAACTTTGTGAGACTTTTGGTTCCAGCCACCGTGGAGTAACTAATACCAGACACACCCTCTCTCATAAACAAATATATGAAGCAACTGTTTTCAGACATTGGACAGCAGACAGCACAGAGCTGTGATCTTTGAGAGAAGAGAACACAGAAGGCTGGCTCCATCTTCACCCCAGCTTTTTACCTGCAGCACAGAGAAGTTGAGCCACCATGGACAGTAGCTGTGTATAAGAAGTAGAGATTGGAGTTTGGAGCTGCAGATGCAGCTGGAATTAGTGGGACAGGACAGCAGAAAGGAGAAGCTGCTCTGATAAGAAACAGCAGAAATTTGCATGGGGATCCCCTTCAGTTTTGGCCAAATACTCAACTGTGCATGTGTGAGGTAGGGCTCTGAAACTTAGCCTGAACAGCCACTGCTGGGGCGAAAGAAGTGGGAGGTGCTGTGAGTGAGAGATCTCAGAGGTTACGGGTGGCTAGGAGACATTGGAGTTCTCACAAGGAAGAGGGAAGACAGTGTGTTGAATAACCCAGACATAATTTGACACCCTCAGAAAGTTATTGCTTTAGGAGTAGAACTAGTCTAGCCTTAGAGGAAGGGCTACTTCTCACCTATCACAATAAAGCCTAAAGAGACCACTAAGATCAGCCTCAGCATCTAGTAAATTAACTGCCTGCAAAGGAAAACTAAATTCTCTTTAAAAGAAGCAAAAAATCATTCAGATTTTTAGCAAAATAGACTCAGCAGTTTCCAAAAGGCAATAAAAAATTACTAGACACAGAAAAGACAGGATGTGTGACCTTTAACCAAGATGAAAAAGACAATAGAACTATAATCAGGGGACATAGATGTTGAAACTAGTACATAAGATTTTAAAACATCTATTATAAATATGTTCAAGGAAATAACAAAAGATAAAAAATGAGTGAAGAGATGAGGAATTTCAACAGAAGAATGGAAACGATTGAAAAGAATCAAAAGGAAATGACAAGAACGGAAAAATATAGTATCTAAAGTTTAAACAGATTTCACCAAATGGGTTTGATATCTGATTGGACACTGCAAAAGAAAAGATTACAGAACTTGAAGATGGATCAATACCAACTATTCAAACTAAAGCACACAAAAAGAAAAAAATTGAAAAACATTAACAGATTCTTGGAGGCCTAAAGACAATATCACAATCTAAATATATGTGCTTGACATACTAAAAGAAGGAAACAAAGAAATTTAGGTAGAGACAATATTTGAAGAAATATTCTTCAAATATTCTAAATTTGATTAAAAATATTAATCCACTGGTCTAAGAATCTCAACAAACCCAAAGAAAGAGGAACACGTACACACACACACACACACACACACACACACACAGCTAGTTACATGATAGTTAAATTGTTGAAAACTGAAAATAAGGAAAAGGACACATTACATACAGGGAACTGCGTTAGAATTAAGAGTTAACTTAAAATGCCATATCCATTGAAAATATCCTTCAAAAATTAAGACAAAGATAAAACAAAAGTAAAAATAACAAAATAATTAATCACCAGCCGTTCCATCTATCAGAATTGCCAAAGGAAGTTCTTTAGACAGAAAATTAGATCTACACAAAAAGATGAAGAATGCCAGAAATGGCAAACATATGAATAAATAGAAATGGCTTTTAACATTTTTTTTTAACTTCTTTAAAAAAACAATTGTTTCCAGCAAACATAATGACAATATGTTGTGGGATTATAAAAGTAAGATAAATGCTAACAATGGCACAAAGGACATGAGAAGTAAATACAAGTGTACTGTTATAAGGTTCTTACATTAGATGAGAAGCAGTATGTTAAAATTAATTCTGGGTGATAAGTCAAATAGTAATTCTGATTACACTATAAACTAAGGGTGCATATTATCATTCTCAAGACAAGCACTAAACATACAATAGAGAAAATTAAAATGGTGTACCAAAAATAGTAAGAAAGAAGACAGGAAGGGAATGGGGAAAAGAGTGAGAAAAACAGCTAGGATAAATAGAAAACAAATAACAAGATGGTAGACTTAAACCCAGGCATATTAATAATTATAATGAATAATATGAACTAAGCACTGAAATTGTAAGACAGAGATTGTTGGACCAAATGAAAAAGCAAGACCCAACTATATTGCATTTACAAGAGATGGGCCATAAATGTAAGTACAAAGATAGGTTGAAAGATGGAAAAGATATACAAGTACTAACCACAGAAAAGCTAAGGCGGCTATATTAATACCAGATGAGGTAGAATTCAAAACATGGAGTGTTATTAGAGAGGAATAGGAGCATACTATAATGATAAAACGGTCAAAAACATCAATTCATTAAGACAATGTCATAATTCTAAATATATATTATGGTTGAGTCTCCGAAGATAGCTACCATCAATTCCTTTCTTCCTTATCTGTGGATATTATGCCACACTTCAAGACACAGGGTCTATTTCTTCTTCCCTGGAATCTGAGCTGTCCTGTGACATACTTTGATGAAGACTTTCTCTTCTTGGTTCCAATTCTTGCAAAACAGCCCTTGCCATGGATTTAATTCCTGCCAGTTAACTCTTAACTCCCCTCCTTGTTCCTCCAGCCTAAGGGCATTACTATCTTAACTGCTGTTGCTAATCTCTCGGGTTGCCTCACCGTTAAATGTCTTCTATACTCTTCCATCACCTGGGTAATCCATTCTTTATAGTAAATTCCTTTTATGTGAAAGATATAGAATGATTTCTATTTTCCTGGTAGGACACTGACTGATACAGGGAGCTAATGAAGCTTGTTAAATCCATTTGTCTTATGGGAAAGGTAGGGTTCAGCACTGTCCTAAACAGGTTCTTTTCTGTTCTACTCTGGTAGGCTGAACTCAGACCTCTTTGGCATCCATGAGAACTTGTGGTCCAGCAAAATGTCGGCCACATTTGATCTGCCATTAAAAAATGACTTTTTACAAATGGAAAACCTTTTCCATCTGTATGATTTAAACAGAGTAATCAATGTTTAAATAATAAATGCCCTCATTTTGGGAAGTCTGTCCACTTCTGGCAGCTCTCCTGGACTTGTCTGAATCAAACTCAGTTGCCTTGGGTCTGTCCTGTACCCCCTCCCCAGGACTGAGAGAAAGTGCAGAAGTTACAGTTGGCAGGCAAGACACCTATGGTCAAGTCTGGATCTAGCAGGTCCTCGGACTTCTCTGAGACTTGGAGGCATGATCCAGGAGTTTTCTCCAAACTGTCACTCCCTAAGTTTTCTCATCAGGCTAAAATAAAAAGAGACTTCATGTAAAGGATCCTAAGTAAAAACTTGCAAAGATCCAATGTGAATTTTGAACATGGAATTCTAGAGGAATGTGACAGCAAGATTTATAAACAACCAGACCTAGAATTGTCCTTAGAGATTGTTCTGGTTTGAATATCCCCTCCAAAACTCATGTTGAAACTTAACCCCCAACGTGACAGTATTGAGAGCCGAGGCCTTTAACAGGTAATTGGATCATGAGGCCTCCTCCTGGATTAATGGGTTAAAGAATGAATGGATTATCAAGAGAGAGGAGCTGGTGGCTTTATTAGCAGAGGAAGAAAGACCTGAGATAGCACCAAAGCATGCTTAGCCCCCTCACCATGTGATTCCCAGAGCTACTTCCGGACTCTGCAGACAGAGTCCCCCACAGCAAGAAGGCTCTCACCAGATCCAGCCCCTCAACTTTAAACTTCTCAGTCTCCTGAACTGTGAGATACAAAATATTTTTCTTTATAAATTACCCAGTTTCAGGCATTCTGTTATAAGTAACATAAGTAACATAAAAGGGACTGATACAAAGATCATCTAGTACCTGAAGAGGGAATATGAGGTTTGACTGACAGACCCAGGTTCAGATTCATCCCTCTCCCTTCCTGGGTACGTGACTCTGTCAGAGTCCCAGCAGGAAATAGACGGATAGCTCAGACTTAGCTCAAGAGAGGTTAATGCAGGGACTTCTACAGAGTGTGCACATGGTTAAGAGAACCCATAAGAGATGGTGACCTACCCAGGAGATGACAACAGTGGACAACCATCACCAACACAAAATCTGACGGGAAAAGGGGAGGGGACAGCATTAGCAGACTGACCAGAGTTGGAATTATGGAGGAACAACCACCCAGCAGGAGCTGTGGCTATGGAGAAATACAGTCACTGCCAAACTGCAATAAGATGGACAGGGACCAGGGAGACAAAACACCTGGCTTCTCTCTCTTCCTGTCCTCCGATGTCCTGCAAGTGTCTCCCATTGGTCAAATGCAACCAGAAATAAGGGAGCAAATGAGTCCATTGATGCAGTCCTTATAGGTCAGCCTCCTGTGGCTCACAGCAGAGTTGAGATGGGTAAAGAATGGTTCAAGCTAGAAAGGTTGGGTGAGGGAAATGGAAGATTACTAGCACAGTGATCCTCTGAGCTTTAATGTCTTCATCTGCAGGAAGTGAATGATAACATCATTTTGACATGGCTGTCATGGAGATAGAAGTAAGTAATACATGAAGGGTTCCCAAATATGGCTGTGTTTCAGACTCACTTAGGGAGCTTTATAAAGATCTAAAATATTTACTCCATTTACACCTACTAAATCAGATGTCCTGTGGTGGCGCTTATAAATGCAATAGATTTTTAAAGTTTGCATCCACTCTAACGACCTAGTTTGAGGAATTGTTGATGAATTACAGTTGTCCTTCTATATCTGTGGGTGATTGGTTCCAGAACCTCTCTCAGATAGCGAAATCTGAGTATTCTCAATTCCTGATATAAAATAGCCATAGTATTTGCATATATGCAAATATATGCACATCCTCTTGTATACTTTAAATCATCTCTAGACTACTTATAATGTCTAAAATAATGTAAATGTAATATAAATAGTTGTTATACTATATAGTTTAGGGAATAATGATACAGGGGAAAATGTACATGTTCAGTACAGATGCAATATTTTTTCATATATTTTCTATCTAGGTGTTGTTGAATCCATATATGCAGAACTCATGGATATGGAAGGCTGACTGTAACTGACTAAAATTCAGATTTTGGAGCCAGACAGTTATAGCCTTGAGTCTTGCTGTTGCCACTTCTTTTTTTTTTTTTTTTTTTTTTTGAGACCAGGTCTCGCTCCGTCACCCAGGCTGGGGTGTAGTGGCACAATCTTGGCTCACTGCAACCTCCGCCTCCTGGGTTCAAGCTACTCTCCTGCCTCAGCCTCTTGAGTAGCTGGGATTACAGGCACGAGCCACCACGCCCAGCTAATTTTTGTATTTTTAGTAGAGACGGGGTCTCACCATGTTGGTCAGGCTGGTCTCGAACTCCTGACCTTGTGATCTGCCCACCTCGGCCTCCCAAAGTGCTGGGATTACAGGCGTGAGCCACCGTGCCCGGCCCACTTCTTAACCTTGAGCAAGCGACTTGACTAATCTAAACTCAATTTCCTCCTCTGAAAAATGGGGATGATCATGAGAATATATTGATTATGAGCATTCATAATCATGTACAGAAACACATGTACAGTGTTTCTCACACAGCAACCCTCAACAAATGGTAGCTTTTTTGACCATGAAAAGTGAGGAAAGATCAAGATGTTGCCTGATTGCAGCTTTTACTTTGAGGAAAATGGAAGTAATTAGAGGGTTTTGAGAAGAGGAATGAAACAATTTAAATTTTTTAAACAGAATTTCTCTGTATTCAGTACAAACTGTATCTGGGCAAGGGCAGAAACAGTGAGACTATGAGGAGGCATTTCAGTAACTCAGGCAAGAAATAATGGTAGCTTGGAAATCTATGTGTGTGTATCCATCATATATAATGCCCATTTTAACAATATATCTAATGACACATTTTACTTGCAAATAACCTCTTTACCCATTGAAATGATGGCAGCTTGCTATTTGAGCTGGCTTTGTTCTTGAGATTCTTGGGGGATTTGGGAAATAGCAAAAGCAAATTCTAGTCAACTTGGTAAGACTCATGGTTCCAACACCTTTCCTGTCCTAGGTTGGAGCCTTGCTGAAGAAGAAGCTTTATGCTGTATTCCTTTCATTGAAAAGGATTTTCTTTCTTTTCTCTCTCTCCCTCTGTCAACTTCTGATGGTTGCAAGCTCATTCTAGACTCTTCTTTTTCTTTTTTTGCTGAAACTGGTGGTAGCCTAGCTCTATGCCACATGCATTTCTACTCTACTGAGTAGCAGCGAGATGAAGGAAGGACTTTGAATACTTTTAAGATCTATGCATATCTTATGCTTAAAGTTGCACCTTGTTCATATTATAAATCTAATACATATTCCTTTCACATGATATGGTGAAAGAACATAGACTATTCCTTAACCCCCCATGTGGTAAGTGATTTATATACAGAGCCTTATATGTTCACAATAATCATCATTTAGCTATTGCCTTCTCCATCTTCAGATGAAAAAAAAGTTCAAAGCATTATTAACTTGCATACATTCTTGATCAGTGTGCAAATGGCTAAGTAGCAGTATTTGAATCTAAATACCTTTTGACTGAGAAATTCCCATTCATAACCTCTGTGGTACATAATCCTCTCCCCTGCAAAAAAATAAAAATAAAAAAGGAAGAGGAGCATCTTCTATATGATTTATTGAAAACCTACTGTATACCAGGTGCTTTATGATTGTGTTTGCTTACAATAACAAACCTGAGAAGCTATTTATTCCATTCAATTGTAGAACTGAATAATAATATCAAAAGGAATCATCCATTTAGTGATTTACCGATATCCAGCAGAATGCTAAGCATAATACACTCTCATTTAAATTTTTTAGAAAGAGCAAACTGAAAACCAATCTTATGCCTACCACCTGGAGGTAACCATTATGTGTATTTTAATGTTCATTCTTTGTGTGCTTTTCCGATAACTATTTTTTCAAACCGAGCATCATATACTCCATGGTACATTATGCTCTCATTTTCTCACTCACAAATGCATCATAAGCATCTTTCCATGTCATCGAGCTTTTATAGCATCAGTCTATAATCATTGAACAGTCCATTTTCTGAAGGTGTCATAATTGATTCAGTAATTCCTCATTGTTAGACATTTGGCTTTTTCCATTTTTACCATTGCAAATATCGTTGCAATGAACAGCTTGTAGTTAAAATTTTGAGCTCTCCTGTGATCTCCCTAAAAAAAAATTGCTTGCAATGGATTTGCCGCACTGAAGCCTTTTCAAATGATTGATTCTTTTGGTAGATAAATTCTCAACAGTATTCTGATTTCATCGCAGTTTTTGGTCTCATCTATTTTTTCAAACCCCGCCCCCAAACTGAACATGTCAATTTGTTAAAAACAAAGAAATAAAAATTGCTAATTTGCTAGGTGAAACATGATAAGTTATTGTTATGTTGTTTTTATCTTACTACTGGTGAAATTTAATATTTCATCACGTATCTGTTGTCAGTTTGAGATCTGTGATTCTATATCTAGACTGGTGTCCTAACATAAGTAATAATGCATGCTAGGGTAAATGTTAGGCCTAGCAAGATTCATCAATTTGAATTTTTTCCCCTTTGAAAAATTGCACCTTTTCAAATTGTTTATGTGGTCTTCATTCGGTGACCAAGCTGTAGACCTGGCTGGTGTCTTGTTAACTGTTCCTGAGTCAAGGGAGACACTGTTTCTGGAGAGACCTTTACCAAGTTAGCAGATGATGTGACTGTAGGCCTCATACATGTGTAAGCCACCGGAAAGAATTATTGCCTGAAATTCTCCTCCTGCAATTGACAGAAGGCTGTAATGCTAATTCCTTGAGGGCAGCAACCAAGTCTTGTTCATCTTTGTGTCCCAAAGGAGATAATCAGTCATTTGGCTACAAAATAAATAGATGATGAACCACCCAGGAGAAGGAAAAAATAAGCAGAGATTTTTCAACTGAGAAGAAGAAATATTGGTTGAACATACTCAAGCAAAAATGGGAAGTTAGTGGAAGGAAGGAAGTGTTCTCACGGAACGCAAAGAGAAAAAAAGCTAACCGAGGTTGAGAATAAATGAAATCCTCAGAAGCAAAGCAGTTTCTCTCATATTCTCTTTCTCTCTTAACCTGATTGCTTCTCATTTGCTTTATTCTCCCCTCTATGGAAGAACTTTCTCGGCATCTCTGCACAAGCACAAAACATGCCAGCCCCAGCTTCCAGCAAGGTCTCAGTTCAGTGCCAATAGTGGCAGACTAGTGGTTCTAAGTCTCCACTTCAAATTCCCAGAAGATAAAAACCTGATTAACCCAGGTCAGTTAACCTCTGACACTTGGTCCAAACTCTGTTAAAGTAAAGATTGGTTATTACCTGTACTGCTGATTGCCTTTAAGGATATGTTGGCTTGTTTGTTTATAATGTGTTTATTCACAGCCTATATCAACTAGATTGCAACTGCTAAAAGTACAGGGACAGTTGCTGGTTTACTGCTGTATCCCCAGCATCTAGCACAGTTCCTGGTGCTACATAACAGGCACTGCATAAATCCTCGCTGAATGAAAGAAGAGAATTGCACTCTGGAAGACAAGCTCTGGGGTTGATGCATTTTTATTGTCTGACCTGGGGGAGGTATAATGGTCTCAAGAAAAGTATGTGTTCCTTATGAAAGGTAAACTCCCAAATCTCCATCACTCAGAATCCCATACAGCCCAAATCTGCATGTGGTGAAGAGGATGCTGTAGAAGAAGCCACTATGTGCTCACCAAACCCATTTTCCTGTTGTCCTCAGCTCATAGTTTTACTGCATTTCCCAGCCTCTCTTGCAGTCAGGCAGGGCCATGTGACTGAGGTCAGCCAATGAAAAGCAAGAAGATGCACTGAGGTCCCCTCTGGCTCTGCCCCCCATGAAAACCTCCTTTATGAGCCTCCACACTGTTTCCCCCATCTATGAATCTGGAATCAAAAAATTCCCAGGCTCTGGGGATGGAAGAGGAAAAAGAAGGAAGAAAGGAGGGAAAGGAGGAAGGAAGGGAGTGAGGAAGGAAAAGAGGGAGGGAGAAGTCATGGTCTCCAAGTTATTACTCACTAAAAATGTCATCTAGGAGAGCCACCCAACCAAGTTTGATTGTTCCTTCAGCAAGCTATAAACTGTTATGGTGCCAAACCATTATTGTTGGTGCTGTTTGTTACAGTAGTTATTGTTACTCAATGTGAATAACACAGACATCTAGAAGAAAGTCAGTCTGGGCTGGGAAATTGGGCTCCTGCTAGAGTGTTTGGAATAACTTGGAGAATTTCTTACTTTTTTTAACTTTTATTTTGTGTTCAGGGGTACATGTGTTATATAGGTTAACTCATGTCACAGGGGTTCGGTGTGCTGATTATTTTGTCCCCCTTTTACTAAGTCTAGGGCCCAGTAGTTACTTTTAGTGATTCTCTCCCTCTTCCCCCCCCACCCTCAAGTAAACTTCAGTGTCTGTGGTTTCCCTGTGTCCATTAATTCTCATATATAACCCAATTATAAAATGGGATAAGAACCTAAATCGATATTTCTCCAATAAAAATGTACAAACACATTTAATAAAATGCTCAATATCATTAGTTATTAGGGAAATTCAAACAAAAACGCAATGGGATATCACTTCACACCTATTAAGTGAGAACATGGAGTATTTGGTTTTCTGTTCCTGCATTAGTTTGCTAAGGATTAATGACCTCCAGTTCCATCCATGTTCCTGCAACAGACATGATCTTGTTCTTTCCACTCTTGATAACTATTATAAAGATGCTTTTTGGAATTTCATCATTTTTAGTTTTCATTTCAGTCATTGAGAGGAAGGCAGGGCAGGACTCATGAGGTCCATTTTATAATGTGGGGAATGAGTCTTTCTTGATGTTTGAGTAGTCTGTCCAAGACTTTTAGCTAGTCAGGGGCACCTGGGCCTCATGTCTTGTAGTCTGATGGTCTTTCTACACCATAATGATGTGCTGAATCCAAGCATAATGATGTGTGATATTCCGTCTGCACAGAGATCATTACATACATCACTGTACGCTAGGACTTCTCAACTGTGGCATCATTGACATTTTGGGGTGGACTTTTTCACAGGGGGCTGTCCTGTGCATCCCCAGCCTCTACCTACTTACTAAATGCCAGTAAGCACCTCCGCCACAGTTCTGACAACCAAAAATGTCTTCAGATATCACCAAATCTCCCCTGGAAGGCCACGTCACACACAGGTGAAAATCACTGCTGAAGAAATTGCTTCATCTTAATAAAAGTTTTGCTTTTACGTTTGCCCTGAAACTAAAATATGGGCTAGAAAACAGCTATTCTTCCTAAGCGAAATGAATGATGTAGAATGTGAAATAAAATTGAGAGAAAACGTGTTACTTTCATGTGTTCTGTTCACATATGGAGATCATCTTTAGGAATGGTGTGAATCTCACACCACAATGGTTCCTTCTTTATTTGTCTATGATGGAACTTAATTCCTATTTGGAGCTTCAATTTCACTGGGTCACAAAGGCTTCATCTCTCTTAAGTGAGGCCAGTCACACCCAATTCTGGTTTCTTCATCTACCTGGAGCTCCTCACCTCCACATTTCTTCATGGCTGGGGTCTAGATCTAGAGGCCTGGCTGTAGGGTGCATTAGCTCCTCGGCCACTCTCTTTCATCCTTCCCAGCACAGGCTGAGCTGTTCTTGGTGTCTGTCATGTCTTCCTAGTTGGCGCAAAAGGATCACTTGAGCATCAGTCCTTTATCAGGCGTTATCGGGAGCTCCTATCTCCTTCAGTGACCCCCATGCCACCCTTGAGTCTATGGTAGGGGTCTGGCACATCCCATTTCTACTTCATGTGTTTATTGTCTCTGACAATAGCGTCCTCTCCCCTTCCACTCCCTCACTGTGCCTGGTTCAGGTAAACTGTGAGAGGCTTGCCATGTATCTGGGTTCCACTGAGGAAGGGAGGCAGGCTGGCATTGGGGAGAGGCAAGTAGGGTGACTATTGAAGGAGGCTCTTGCCCTCAGATATCGATCCTCACTGCGTGATCTTGAGAGTGAGTGCCTTGTTAGGAGTGAGGTGCCTAGGAAAAAGGATCAACCACCCCAGAGCTGAAACCATACAACTCTTAAAGGAAAGTGATATTGTTCGGCTGTGTCCTCACCCAAATCTCGTCTTGAATTGTAGTTCCTATAATCCCCATGTGTCATGGGAGGGACCCAGTAGGAGGTAATTTAATCATGGGAGCAGTTACCCCTATCTGCTGTTCATGTGATAGTGAGTGAGTTCTCACTAGATCTGATGGTTTAATAAGTAGTTTAAAAGTGGGTTTTCCCCACTTTTGCTCAGTACTTCTTCCTGCCACCATGTGAAGAAGGACGTGTTTGCTTCCCTTTCTGCCATGATTGTAAGTTTTCTGAGGCCTCCTCAGTCATGCTGAACTGTGAGTCAGTTAAACCTCTTTCCTTTATAAATTACCCAGTCTCAGGTATGTCTTTATTAGCAGCTTGAGAATGGACTAACGCACAAAGCATAGGAGTTAATAATCATAACCTTGGATTTGGCAATGGCTTCTAAGATAAGACATCAAAAGCATGACTAAGACAGAAAAATAAATAAACCAGACTTCCGCAAAATAAAAAAAAAAAACTTTTCTGCATCCAAGGACATCAAGAAAGTAAAACAATAACCTACAAAATGGGGAAAAATATTTGCACAAAGTATTTCTGATAAGGGTTTGATATTTAGACTATATAAAGAGCTCCTAATGCTTAGTTAAAAAAAAAAAAAAAAAAAGAACAAACAACCCAATTATAAAATGGGATAAGAACCTAAATAGATATTTCTCCAAGAAAAAGATAGAAACACATTGAATAAAATGCTCAATATCATTAGTTATTAGGGAAATTCAAACAAAAACACAGTGGGATATCACTTCACACCTACTAAAATTACTATATTTATTTTTAAAGATGGAAAATAAGTGTTGGTAAGGATGTGGAGAAATTGAAACCCTTGTAAATTGTGGGTAGAAATTCAAAATGGTGCATCCACTATAGAAAACAGCTTGGAATTTTCTCAAAAGGCTAAATATAAGATTACCATATAACCCAGCAATTCCACTCCTAGGTATATACTCAAAAGAATTGAAAATAGGAACTTAGATATCTGCACACATATGGTCATGGCAGTGTTAGCCACAATTGCCAAAAGGTGGGGACAACCTAAATGTTCATCAGAAAATGAACAGATAAAAAAAGTGTGGTATACAACCTATACATAAACCACTTTCATATCTGCCTACTAATGTATGGACTTCAGAGTAAGGTGGCCTATGTCGATTTTTCCCGGATTGTTCTTTCGTTTGTCATTTTTTCTCCCTTCCTCCCTGCTATTTTCTCTTCACAGGACATGAGACTTCACAATCTGCTAAAATGAGCTTTTGGGACCTACCCATCTAGGAATAAAGCATCCTAGCCATGAAGGATAAGATGAAGCCTGAGACCAGAGACTCATTTTCTTGTAAAATGCTTTCTCCGAAAGATTTTAACAAAAAAAAGTGTGGGGGCCGGGTGGTGGGGGAGGAAGTGAAAGGAAAATATCTCGGGCCCCCAAAGTAAGGAAAACTCAAGCCGGGAACTGCTGAGGGTAAACCTGCCTTCCATTCTATTCAAAGTCACTCCTCTGTTCACTGAGATAGATGCACATCTGATTTGCCTCCTTTGGAAAGGCTAATTGGAAACTCAAAAGAATGTAACCCTTTGTGTATCACCTATCTGTGACCTGGAAGCTTTGAGTCTTCCTGCCTTTGCTTCCAGTTGTCCTGCCTTTCCAGACCGAACCAATGTACTTCTTACATATATTGATTGATGTCTTATGTCTTCCTAAAAATATAAAACCAAGCTGTGCCCTGACCACCCTGGGCACATGTCGTCAGGACTTCCTGAGGCTCTGTCACGGATGCGTCCTCAACCTTGGCAAAATAAACTTCTTAAATTAACTGGAAAAAAAAAGTGTGGTATAGCCATGCAATAGAATATAATTTAGCTATGAAAAGGAATGAAATTCTGATATATGCTACAATATGGGTGAACTTGGAAAACGTTATGTTAAATGAAATAAGCCAGACACCAAAGGACAGATATTGTATGATTCCAGTTATTTGAAATATCGAGAATAGGCAAATTTATAGAGACACAAAGCAGATTAGAGGTTACCAGGGGCTGAGGGATGGAGGGAATGGGAGTTATGACTTCATATTTTTCTGGTTAGGGTGATAAAGATTTGAAAATAAAGGTGATGTTTGCAGTATTAGTTCATTCTCATGCTGCTAATAAAGACATATTTGAGACTGGGTAATTTATAAAGGGAACAGGTTTAATTAGCTCACAGTTCAGGATGGCTTGGGAAGCCATCATGGCAGAAGGGGAAGCAAACACGTCCTTCTTCACATGATGGCAGGAAGGAGAAGAATGAGAGTGAAGGGTGGGGAAGCCCCTTATAAAACCACCAGATCTCATGATAACTCATTCACTATCACTATACTAGCATAAGGGTAACTGCCCTCATGATTTAATTACCTCCCACTGGGTTCTTCCCTTGAGACATGGGGATTATGGGAACTACAATTCAAGATGAGATTTGGGTGGGGAGACAGCAGAACCATATCAGTTGCACACATCATGAATATAATTAATGTCACTTAAAATGCTGAAAATGACTAATTTTATGTTATGTTTATTTTACCACAATAAATAAATATTTTTAAAAACAGTGAAGTTACTAGGGCATAAAATTGAAAGAAGAATCATTCTCAGAGGCATGGAAATGGAGGTTCTGCAGCTGAGAATGAAAGCCTCCTTCAACTTTCACCCTAGCTGCTTCATTTCCTTATCTTAGTCATGACTCTGAAGGGAGGCACAGGACCTCCTATCTCACAGATCTCTAAACCCTGCTACAGGTTTGATTTCCATCCAGCAAGGACAGGGCAGGCCCAAGGTCCATGTCAGGGACTCAAGCCATTGTCTAATGCTCTTGTGTCTGCTTCCACACTTACATTCTCCAGCAAGACACTTTCTCCTTTGGCACAAGAAGAAATTTGCCTTCCATAACCACTCATTCTTCCAGTCTTCTGTTTATGGCAATGATATTATGTCTGGATTATTACAGGGCTTAGTTTTTTTAACTTAAAAAAATCTGGTAAAATATAGATAACATAATTTAATATATACAACATAAAGATTAAGGGTACAATTCAGAAGGCTTAGATTTTTGAAGCCCAGAAACCTAGATTTCTATAAAGCAAATGGTCTGAATTCAAAAGCTATTGTTCAGCATTTGTAAAATGATCCTGGAACTGTGACTATTGCTGATTGGATGGGAGAGGCATGAGCAAGGAGAATGGGGAATGTAGAAGAGAGCATTGGCCCACTGTTCACTTCTATCCAGTAGAGGATTAGCTCACTGCTGACTTCTATCCAATAGAGGATTAGCCCACTGCTCACTTCTATCCAATGGGACATTGGCCCCCTGTTCACTCATATCCAATGGGACATTGGCCCACTGTCCACTCATATCCAATAGGGCATTGGCCCACTGCTCACTCATTTCCAATGGGACATTTGCCCACTGCCACAATTTGAAAAGCTGTATAAAATTTATTCCACCAACATGTATTTAGCTATGAGAGAAAGGTATAATAATGATGAATGAGAATAAAAAGCTCTTTGTAGCTTACAATGCACTTTCCTTCTAAACCCTAAGCTCTCTGAGGGCAAGAATGAATTTTGTCTTGCTGGTTACCATCTCTCCAGTGCCTGTGAGAGGCCTGAGACATGCAGGGACCCAGTAAATGCATTCATGTATCTCTTAACAACAGGGATACCTTCTGAGAACTGTGTCGTTAGGTGATTTTGTTGTGTGACCCTCATAGAATGTATCTATACAAACCTAGATGATATAGCCTACTATACACCTAGGCTATATGGTATAGCCCATTGCTCCTAGGCTACAAACCTGTAGAGCATGCTACTGTACTGAATGCTGTAGGCAATAGTAACACAATGGTAAGGATTTGTGTATCTAACTATAGCTAAACACTGAAAAGGTACAGTAAAAATACAGGATTATAATTTTGGGGGACTGCTATCATATATGTGGTCCATGATTGACTTAATAATAGTTATGCTGCACATGACTATAATTGTTGAATGAACAAACAAGTACACAGACTTTTGTTTGAGTCCCAGAATGTCCCTGTTTCATACGAAGAGCTAGTTTTCTTACCTCTGTTTTATAGAGACAGCAACAGAAGCTCAAAGGCCTAAAGTGACAAAACTGGGGAGAAAGGGAATCAGGATTTGAGCCCACAACCCAGCAACACGTCCTTTGAAACGGTGAAATCACTTGCCAAGCAAAACACCACATAATTGGGGTGATATTGAGATTGACTACCATTCTATAGAAGTCATCTGAATAAATACATTGTATATTATTATGAATTAGGATATCAACACTAACGGGCAAACATTATTGAGTTCTTACAGAATGCTAGACCCTGTATTAAGGGAATTATATAATTAGCTTTCATTAACCCTCAGAATAACCTTGGGAGAGGCACACACGGTTCCAGTTTAAGGATGAAGAAAGCAAGTGTCAAAAAGTTGAAATAATTTGCTCATGCCCTCAGCTCCCACAGAGCAATGCTGGGATTTGAACCCAATAGTTTTGCATGACGCTTAACATGACAATAGACCTTGATGGGCCTCTAGGCTATGTGTGTACCAATCTGGGGAAGCCACCTAATCCTGCAGTCCATGGGAATCATTGGCAACTGACTTTGGAAAAAGAAGCACGGGCCTCTTTAGTGGCAAAAGTTCATGACATTTAGGTTCAGTCAACCTGCCAAACAGTGTCTGGGGGAAGAGGGAGAGGGGAGTCAATCATCTTGACATTCTGTCATCTTCTGGTGTCTACAGAATGTCACACACCCAGAGTTAGAAAGCACTGTGGTCTTGTTCTTCAGATGTTTGAGACTGTGCTGCCCCATTCTCTGTGTGTCAGAGCTCCTGCCTGACAAACAGTGGGACTGATATTATTTTCATTAATAATAACAGCACTGCCCTTTCCTTTGTGTGCATTGGGTGTTCTGGGCTTTGTGCAGAGGGTTTTTTTAAAATTTAAGTTCTGGAATAAATGTGCAGGACATGCATGTTTGTTACATAGGTAAACGTGTGCCATGGTGGTTTGCTGCACCTATCAACTCATCACCTAGGTATTAAGCCCTGCATGCATTAGCTGTTTACCCCACCCCCCCATGACAGGCCCGGGTGTGTGTTGTTTTCCTCCTTGTGTCCATGTGTTTTCATTGTTCAGCTCCCACTTACTAGTGAAAACATGCAGTATTTGGTTTTCCGTTCCTATGTTAGTTTGCTGAGGATAATGGCTTCCAGCTCCATCCATGTCCCTGCGAAGGACATAATCTCATTTCTTTTTGTGGCTGCATAGTATTCCATGGTGTATATGTACCACATTTTCTTTATCCAGTCTATCATTGATGGGCATTTGGGTTGATTCCATATCTTTGCTATTGTGAATATTGCTTCAATGAACATATGCATGCATGTATCTTATAATAGAATGATTTATATTTCTTTGGTTATATACCCAGTAATGGGATTGCTGGGTCAAATAGTATTTCTGGTTCTAGATCCTTGAGGCCACACTGTTGCCACACTGTTGTCCACAATGGTTGAACTAATTTACAGTCCCACAAACAGTGTAAAAGCATTCTTATTTCTCCACAGCCTTGCCAGCATCTGTTGTTTCTTGACTTTAATAATTGCCATTCTGACTGGCGTGAGATGGTATCTCATTGTGGTTTTAATTTGCATTCTCTAATGATCAGTGACGTTGAGTTTTTGAAATATGTTTGTTGGCTGCATAAAGGTCTTTTTTTTAAGAAGAGTCTGTTCATGTCCCTTGCCCACTTTTTGATGGAGTTGTGTGTTCTTTTCTCATAAAATTGTTTAAGTTCCCTATAAATTGTGCAGAGGGCTTTAAATGCATTATCTTACTCTGTAAATTTCTATTAGTAACCCTGCTTTCCATAAGAGAGCGCTATTAAGGCTCACCAGTGGGTAAGAAATATGACCAAGGACACTCACATAGTATGTGACTATAGTGGGTTGAATAGCTGTCCCAAAAAGATATATCCTCCAGAAATGGAATGTGACCTTATTTGGAAATAGGGTCTTTGCAAGTATGACTAATTTAAAAATCTTGAGATGGGATGGTCCTGGATTTAGGGGGAACTCTAAATCCTATGACAGGTGTCCTTATAAAGAAAAGGCAGAAGGAGATTGGAGACACAGACACACAGGGGGAAGGCCATGTGAAGACAGAGGCAGGTGCTAGAGTGATGTGTCTCCAGGCCAAAGCGGGCTGATTGCTGGCTACTATCCGCAGCTCGGAGAGAGGCATGGAATGGATTCTCCCTCAAGGACTCCAGAAGGCACCAACCCTACTGATAACTTGAATTCAAACTTCTGATCTCCAGAACCGTGAAAGGACTTTGGTCATTTTAATCCATCCAAATTTGACAATCTCTATGGCTGTGTAGGACACTAATACAGTGGCTGAGATACAATTTGGATGCAGGTGACATCAGTAACCTCTAAGTCACACATTTAAAACTAGCTTTTTACTTCTCAATGCATTTGCTCAATTTCTTCATGTTCACAAATTCAATGACTCAGAGTACTTTAGTTTTCAGAAAAAAATGCACATATGCATACACATGTGCACACATAGGAAGACATACATATGGATACTTCACTGAGGTTAAATGACCACGAAGCTTTCTCATCTATTTTCCTTTTATGATTACTAACTCTCAAGAAAATACCAAAAATTAAAAAAAAAAATCCAAATTGCCACTGCAAGTCTGATCAAGCAGGCTGTGGGAAAAATAAGTAAACAAACAAACATAAACTTCAGTCTTGAAATGCGAAACCAGAGACTTGGATCTTTTTTAACATTCAGAATGTTATTTTATTAACATGAAGCCTTTTATCTCTGGATTCCAGACAACTTTAAAGAGGGAGAGAGTGAGTGTCGTTCTGGTTCTCATTTGATGTTGCCATTGTGGGGGATTGGAGAGATGGAAGGAACTACTGAGTTTAAAACATTTGCTCTCATTTTCTAGAGTCAGTAAAAACCAGAAATAGTCCAGACTTACAAGCATCCGCATTAGTATCTTCTCAGAATTCACCATACTCAAACTGAGTATCATTGATGAAATTGCCTACCCACTTTATAGACCATTCGGAGAACTCAGATGTATCCTTCGAGTTCCAGTTTTTATGAGATGCTTTCCTTGATTTTGTCAACTCCATGCTCTCTCACAAAGCAATGTTGACTATCCCACGCCTGTGCACACACTATGGTTTGTATGCACCTCAAATACACCATTCATGATACTTTATGCTATTTGGTTGTGTACAGGTCTCTCCCTTTAGAAGAAGGGTTTTTATTCCAAGAACTTACAGAGAGTCAATGAATGGGTTTCAAAGGAAGCTGTCAACCCCTTGAAACTATCTGAAAAATTGTATGGAAATGTGCAACTTGGGGAATAGAAGCTCCTTAGGCTGAGTTCCCAAAGAACTTCAAGGTTCAAACATGTTTAAAATCCACTGCACTAAAGATGAAATTCTTCAAGATTTCATATCTCTATTGCCTTGTACAGCACCTGGGCCAGAGACATGAAAAGTGCCAATTGCTGCATAAAACTTTGATGAAAATGTAGTTAGATTCTAAGTTGCCCTGATTTTATGTTTGAACCATTGGAGTTATAAGTGAAGAATTATAAAACATTCCAAATCTGTGCAAAATTATAAGTAACTTTAAGCTGACTCACAGCTTGTTCTTCTCTTAAACAAAAAAGGTCTGGTGTCTATTCTATCAAGAAGCTCAACGCTTAAAATAGCTACCACCCTTTGCTCTCAGAAACTCACTTTCTAGCTGTCCCAGCAATTCAGCACCTAAGAATTTATCCTACAGATCTATCAGCATGAATGTACAAAAATACATGTATATGGATGTGATAGCAAAAAAATATGGACTCAATTGAATGTCTATCAATAGGTGCTATAATCCTTTAGAACAAGGCCATCAAAATACTTGTCAGGGGCCAAGTGGTAAATATTTTAGGCTTTTTGGAACATACAGCTCCTGTCTTTAGCAACTGCAACTACTCAAACATTGCCATTATAGTGTCAAAGTAGTCACAATGTGTAAATGAATGCACATGGCTTTGTTCCAGTAAAACTTTACTTACAAAAATAGGCAAGAGGCAGAATTTGGCCAGTAAGTTGTAGTTTGTTGACCTCTGCCTTAGAATACTACACAGCTATTAAAAAAAAAAAAGACTTGTGAAAATGTCCACAATTGTTTTAATTTGCAGAATAATATAACTAGCACATGCATAGTGCTTCTTATATGACTTACTCTATTTTAAGTATTATGTTATTTTATTTTACCTTCATATACAACCCTATACATGTAGGCACTCTTATTCCCATTTTACAGATGAGGAAACTGACACTTAGAGAAGTTTCAGAACCAGTTTCTGACCACAGAGTGTGGACTGGCAGAGCCCTGATTTGAAGCCAAAGCCAAAACCATAGTGCCACATGGGAACTCCATCATGAATAAAGCCCCAGCTTTGCATGACTTTTTTTTTTTTTTGAGACAGAGTCTCGCATTGTCACCCAGGCTGGAGTGCAGTGGCATGATCTTGGCTCATTGCAACCTCTGCCTCCCAGGCTCAAGTGATTCTCATGCCTTAGCCTCCCATGTAGCTGGGATCACAGGCGCCCACCACCATGCCTGGCTAATTTTTGTATTTGCAGTAGAGATGGGGTTTCAGCATGTTGGCCAGGCTGGTCTTGCACTCCTGACCTCAAGTGATTCACCCACCTTGGCTTCTCAAAGTGCTGGGATTACAGGCATGAGCCACTACGTCCGGGCCTTTGCATGACCTTTAATATCTTTGCCTTAACAGTCATCCTCACCACACTCACAGGTATCTTTCATTAGGTGCTTGCCAGAAGCCAAGCCCTGTGCTAAGAACATTATGAGCATGATCTCCTTGAACTTTTACCATAAGATGTATGCTATCACTGACTCCCTTTTACAGATAAACATAACAAGGTATTGGTGAGGCTGATCTGGGGACCCAGGCTGTGGGAGTGGACAAGAGACCTGAAGAAACAGTAGCAGAGAGTAGTGGTTGCTGACTGGGCTAGAGTCACCTCTGAGTGTTAATCCCAGCTCTGCCTCTTCCCAGCTACGAGAACTTGGGCAAGTCCCATAACCACTTCATCTCTCCTCATCTTGGTTTTCTCATAAAATGTGGATAAATCCTCTCTCCTAGAATCCTGAGGGTTAGATGAGATCTTACTGGCAAACATGATTCGTGTTATTATAGCAAGGACTCCAAAGATGTTAGCAATTAAATAAGGTTGCAGGGAGAGGGTGCTTGAGGAGCCACCACAGGTCAGAAAATGATCTATACCAGTGGCTGGTAAACTGCAGATCATAGACCACATTTGGCCCATCACTTGTTTCTGTAAATAAATCTTTACTGGGACACCACCATGCCCATTTGGCTACATATTGTCTATGGCTGTTTTCATTCTGCAATGTCAAAGTGGAGTAGTTGTAACAGAGACACATAAAAGAATAAGTTGTAGCAGAGACAAAAAAAAAAGACTAAAATATTGACTACTGGCCCTTTGAGAAAAAGTTTTCTCCCCAGTCTTGATTCTTGATGAGATATAGAGAAAAGGGCAATAGGACATCATCTTGACTTTGTGTAGAGGACTATAACATCACCCATCAATATTCAGGATTCCATCTGACAGAATATCTTTTCTATCCCATTGAATTTTGGCATGGCCATGAGACTTGCTTTAGCCAATGATATATGAGCAAAAGTGATATATTTATTACTGGGCAAAAGCTTTAAGAGCCGCTGTGTTTTATCACATTCTCATTGACTTCTGATACAGCGACTGCTCTGCCAGCCTGCAACTGAGAATGAGGATGACAATCACACTTGGCTGACCCTTGAAGGATATATTGGTTAAGCCACTAAGCTTTCAGGAGTTGTTTGTTACTGCAACACTTCACTCATCCTGACTGATACATGCTGAGCAGCCCTGAGATTGTTCTTTTATCAAGAGGTTAATGTCAACAGAAATTGGAGCAGCCTAAAGAACCCAGCTATCTTTGAGGGCTTATAGGTCTGGGCTTCCTATCCTCATTGAGCTGTGAAATGGTTGGCCCTCTGAGTGTCTCTTTAGAGCACAGAGATGTTGAAAGACCTGTCTCAAGGTTAAAAAAAAAAAAAAAAAAAAAAAAAAAAAAAGAGGACTTTGGCTCCTTCATTCCTGCCAGAAGTTGTTAGCTTTGAAAGTAGCTTGGCACAGAAAGGATTTGGAGTCCAACAGACATTACTTTATACCCTTAATGACCCATTCATCATTTTTTTCAATGCACATTTATTGATTACCTACTATGTGCCTACTACTTAGCTCCTGTACATACTGCTAAGAATACAGTTGGGAGTGAGACAGACACTAGAACTGGGGAGATGTATAATAGGTAAACCAGCAGAAATATGAATGTGATAATTTTATGTCAGAATTAATACTCCAAGGACAACAAAAAGTTTAATGTGACATTGTGCAATAGTTTGGGGTGACATTCAACAGGGTGGTCAGAGCAAAGCTAAGGGAATGAGAAGGAGCCTTTCCTGTGAAGATCTGGAGGAAAAGCATTCCAGGCAGAGGGAAAAGCAAGTGCAAGGGCCCTGAGGCAAGAACAAGGTTTGTATCTAGTCCAGAAAGAAATACTGCTCGTGTAGCTGGAATATAATAAAAGCTCACATTTGCTTAGTGCTTCACACATGCCATGCACTGGATAAATACTTAACATATACTCTCTTATTTAATTAGCACAACAACCCCATCAGACAGGTACTATTATCCCCATTTTATAAGTAGAAAAACTGAGACACAGAGATGTTTAATGACCTGTGTAAAGATCAAAAAGTTAGCAAGTGGCAGGACTAGGATTTGAACCTAAGCAACCTCTCTCCAGAGCCCATACTCTTAAATACTGCACGTACTGCTTTGCATGGAGAACGACCAACCCTGCCAACTTGGGCAGGTCTCTTAGATTCTCAGAGCCTCGGTTTCCACACCGGTGAAACTAAGGCAAAAGAGAGCTGCTATGACTGCTAACATTAGTCAAGTCACTGTTTTATAATGGGAACACAATTGAAGTTAGTTCTCATCTCTTCAACTTTTTCAATGAGCTACTGTTCATTGAAACTAAAAGGGCATATAAAGAAAATCATGTTTAAAGAGTTTCCATTCTGATATTTTCTCTGAGGGTACAAACATCTATTCAGACACAATTAAGTATTTTTTAACACATAGTGTGGTGAGATAGTAATGTCTACTATCTTATGTGTGATTAATGAAATCTGCTAATATAAACAGTGAGAGGACAGGCACTCTGATTCTGCCAATGGCTACCAATTAAGGAGGTGCTGCTCATTTTCAGGATGAAAAGGGAACTGCTCTGTCTTAGCTGTCTGTAATAATTTATCAAGAAGTGAAATTTTAAGGACATGACCCAGAAAGAACATGAGAATTTAAAAATCTCTCTTTCCCTTATAATAATAATATTAAAAATCATAGCAATAGTACTATAATGTACTAGATGCTTCTATTTCCCAGGTACAAATTAAGTACTTTGCAGGCATATCCCGGTTTAATCCACTCAGCAGCCCTCTCTAGTAAATATCTATGCTGTGTTCAACTTTCAGATGAGGTAAGTAGTGTTATAGCAAACAAGGGATGGAGTAGGAAAATGGCACTAACCATGACCTAGTTAAAGAAGCAAGTTTGGGATTTGGAGAAAGGAACATCTGTGGAATTGTCCACATTTTGTGACATGTGTATACGGGGCACTATGCGAGTAAGGGTGGCAGGGAAACCTAAAAACACACATGTTCCCAGACACGTGTGCAGACATACAAACACATACTACATGGTCAAGAAAGAGTTGACTCACATTTAATAAAGTGTGAAGTCCTTAAACCTGTAATAATCTCGATTATAAGCTATCACTAGATATAGAAGACAGCAACCCAGAGAAATATAACACACACACTCTTGCGTGTTGGGGTCTCATTTCGCACACTGACAAAGAAACGGTGTACAAACCCAGGAGTGGTTTCCCAAAGCCTGATGCACACCGTCAGTTATTCACTCATCCCATCACACGCACAGTGCTCATTGGAATGGAGAGTGAGGGTGAGCCTGGGGATTATACGGGAAGTAAAAGTCACAGGAATGGATGATTGATTAGGTGGGACAAGCGTGGAACAAGATGAAGTTGAACAAGACTCCAAGATTCTTCCAGTTTGATTGAGTGGAAGGCCAAGCATGCCACGGATGCACTGGGGAACAGAAGTGCAACAGCAGGTTAGGGGGAAGGTGTTAAGCTCTCTTTTGGACAGCCCAAGCTTGAGGTGCCTGGGGGACATCCAGGAGCAGATGTGAGGAGACACACGTGGGTGTTTATGGGTCTGAGGCTTAAGCAAGAGACAAGTTAAAAGCCGAGGAGTGAACTAAGGGTGAACCCTGGGACATACTCTTGCTGAAGAAGTGAACTGAGGAAGAGGAGTGAATGGAACAGTCTAAGAAGAAACATAAAGGTCGAGTCAGGCGCAGTGGCTCACGCCTGTAATCCCAGCACTTTGGGAGGCTGAGGTGGGCAGATCACCTGAGGTCGGGAGTTCGAGACCAGCTCGACCAACATGGAGAAACCCCGTCTCTACTAAAAATACAAAATTAGCCTGGCGTGGTGGCACGTGCCTGAAATCCCAGCTACTCGGGAGGCTAAGGCAGGAGAATCGCTTTAACCGGGGCGGCGGAGGTTGTGGTCAGCTGAGATTGTGCCATTGCACTCACGCCTGGGCAACAAGAGCAAAACTCCGTCTCAAAAAAAAAAAAAAAAAAGGTCAAATTCAACTGTTTCATAGAATGATGTAGTTATTAAGAAGGTGAAGAGGGCTGTGGATGGGATCAGACATAACCAGGAAGGGGAGGGATAAAAGGAGAAAGGCAAATGTGTGAAGGAAGACGACGAAGTGGCTACAAAGGAGGGTGGCATATATGAGACCTCAGGGTCCTTGTAGTTAATTATGGTGGCCAAAGTCACATCCTGTAATCTAGACTAGAAGAGCTCCTTCAGCTGCCTTTAAAGATGGCTCCGTGTTTTGCAAAGAACAAGGACCTTGGCGTGGGCAGCCCTGAATTTAAATCTGGGCTCTGTAACTTCCTAGCTGAGTGATCTTGGGCAAACATCTTCAATTCTCTGAGCTTCAGTATTATTATTCAGTAGCCCATGAAATGGGACTAATAATGTTTTACTCAGAGAGTCATTTTAAAAATACATCTTGGTAGTGATACATTTTCTTTCTTTTTTTTTTTTCTTTTTTTGAGACAGAGTCTCGAACTGTTGCCCAGGCTGGAGTGCAGTGGCGCGATCTCCGCTCACTGCAAGCTCCGCCTCCTGGGTTCACGCCATTCTCCTGCCTCAGTCTTCCGAGTAGCTGGGACTACAGGCGCCCGCCACCACGCCTGGCTAATTTTTTGTATTTTTAGTAGAGACGGGGTTTTACTGTGTTAGCCAGGATGGTCTCGATCTCCTGACCTCGTGATCTGCCCCCCTCGACCTCCCAAAGTGCTGGGATTACAGGCATGAGCCACCGTGCCAGGCATGTACTAATATATTTTCAGTACAAGTATAGATTATTCATTTTATCCACACCTCATTGTGTATGTTTGTATGAGTGTGGGTGGGGTGTGTGTGTGTTTGTGTGTGATTATGAATGATCAAAAAACTAAGACGAAGGGACTTTACGGACTCCAGTCATTGAAAATTCCAGAAGAATCACTTTCAGACAGAGCTGCGTTCATGGATTCAGATGAGACCAAGTCTTTTCCTTGTTCTGTACTCCAGCTTGGCTTCCCCTTGAGTATGCTCCATTCTGAGGGTGATGTTGAAGTGGCCGCTTCCAGCTTTCAGCAGACTTTTTTAAAAAACCACCTTATTGAAGCATGATCGACATAATAAAAACCTGTGTATATTTTAAATAGACACAGTTTGGGATAAGCATACACCCAGGAAATCCTCACCACCATCAAGTCAGCTGACTTCTTATGCTCTTAGCTGCAACCACCTGATAGCACATAACCCCCCTCTCAAGGGCTCAAAGAAAAAACTCAGTGTTGAGTCTCTGTTGACTCCAATTGGTCAGACTTGAGACACATGCTCATTCAGATCCAATCACTGGCCAGCAACACTCTGATTGTCTGGGCCTGAGAGGGTCACATGACATCCCTGGAACCCAATCTTCCAAGGACTGTGAATGTAGAAATCAACATTTTGTTAATAAAAGACTGAATATTGGACATGTACACTTTACAAAGGACAACTCGTGTGTGTGTGTGTGCATGTACAAATTTTCCTAGCTTATTACTTCATAGACATGTTTGGGTTTATTCCCACCTTAATCATTCTCATGGTCCTTCATGAATATAAGAAAGTTGCACCAAGTACCTGGTCCATGCAGTTCTCTCTGGGGCAGGCACTGCAACGTGGCGTCACCCAGGATCTTTAGCTCCAGTCTCTCCCTGGGAACTTAAGAAGAATGCCTTCTGCCTCTGCTGACTCAGCGGGTTGACAAAGACCTCTGACACCCGCCTGGCCTTTCCCGGAACCTTAAGAAGGAAGAAGAGAGAGCCTCAGAGGGCAGGTTTAAAATTAGAAGGGAGTGCAACACTGCTTGTGGTTCTTGAACGTCAGCCATTCGGGAGGAATGGGAGATAAGGTGGTCAAGAGACAGGAAGCATTTATTTAAGATTCCTATCACACTGGGAAGCTGGAGAGGGAGTTTAGTTCAGGGGAAGAACAGGATGTTGCCAGGATCTGGGGCAGGGCCAAGGGCAGGGGGGTATGGAGGGAACGGATATTGAAAAGAGGGAGCTAGTCAGCCAGGGTTTAAGGAGAGAAGGTTTGGAGAAGTCCCAAGCAGGAAGTCAGACAGGGAAGAGGCCCCTAAGGAGTTCAGGTCACTTCAGTTGCAAAAGGGAGATGGATCTTCTCTTGGAAGAACTTGGATCTCTTCGGTGAAGCCGATGTGTTTCTGGGTGGTCTCTTTGGGAGGGGACTCCATTTAACTCTTGCGTGAGCTCTTGGTTTGGTGTTCTCCCTGGTGTCTTTCTGCTGGTCTCCCAGCTTGGAGGCCACCACACTGACATTCTCTGAAGGGCACCACCCTGAAGTTCTGCCTTGACATTGAAGGCTACAGAAAGTTAAAAGTCACATTGGTTGCAGACCTTGTGGTCAATTTCCATCCCACATGCATGTGGGGGCATAGTGGTGAGTACAACCATTTCCCTTTTTTTCCCCTTAGGGAAAACACATAGTTTGTCCAGTCTTCAAAAAAGACCCTTAGCAAAACACAAATCTAGTGAAGAAAATCTATGAAAAGGTCATTTGCAAAATGGAAAAATACAAGCCACCAACACACACCAAAGAAAAAACTATAATCATAATTCAAATAACTCACAACTGCATTACTGTGGCAAGCCAGGTATTGCCATGAACCTTGGACATACATTAATTCATGTTAATCCTTTTGACAACCCTAAGAAGTATTTTCTTCATTTCATAATACAGTCCAATAAACCAAGACATGCAGGGGTTACGTCCCTTGTCTAAGATCACAGCTCCCAAGTGGCAGAGTTGGAAGGAAAGAGGATTGTATTAACGGCCTAATGGATAAAAGTCTGAGTTTGCAGCTGACAAAACTGGCTTTGGGAAAGTGACTTGACCTCTCTGAGCCTTAGCTTACCCAGTGCAGAAAGTGAGTATGAGATAGAACCCCCATCACGGAGTTGCAGAAAGGCTTTAGCAAGGTAGCATATGGTTAGCACAGTGCATTCGTATTTAGAAAAAGTGCAATAGACAGTCGACTTTTGTTATCCTTGATTTAGAGGTTCTACTATAGCAGCCCTCCCTGTCTACATCTGACAGGGATTATAAAGAGTCCATGCCTGAAAACAGAGGCCAGAAGCCTCAAAGAGTACGGCTGAGCTGTATCCCACCCTCACCCTCCTCTTCTGGCCTCTTCTGCAGACACAGCTGATAAGACCCCCGAGGGCACCTCCCACTCACCCACTAATCAACCCTCTGGGGAAGCATCTGGACCACAGGGGATGATCAATGACAGAGTAGTTGCTCAGCTCCACACCCACGGTCCATCTGGAGAGACACCCTTGGATTCAAGACTAAAGGCTTCCAGGAAAAGTGGCGAGGCTCAAGGTCATCGGTCAGTCAGTAACTGACCACCTTGCCTCTGGGGACAGTCTGGAGCTCGCACATGGACATTTGCCTTTCTTATTCCCAGGGGGAGTATCTGCTCCCTTTTGCTCTTTAAAGAAGCAGTCACACATTATTATTATTATTACTACTATGATTTTTGCTACCATTGATTGAATGTGCCCATGTTCAAGGCCCTATGCTAAATGCTTTACATGAATTTTCTCATTTTATCCTCTCTGTAACTCAAAGTGCTGGGGAGTATTTTTAGCCCTATTTTACAGCCTGCTCAGTTTCTTCTCAATCGCCTCAAGCTTCCTCTGCTGAAATGATCCTCTACCATCCATTTTTCAACTGACCTATTTTTTCAAGTAGGCAAGTTAGCTCCTCCAGTAAGCCTTCACTAACCATGGGCTAGGCTGGGTGACCTGTCGTGGTGCCCTCGTCCTTCTCCATCTTCACAGCACATTGCGTGTCTGTATTTACCCAACAATCCGAAATATTTGCTTACTGCTGGTCTCCTTCATGAGGTTATAAGATCTAAGAAAGAAGGGACTGTGCTTGTCTTATATTCTGTCTGCCTAGTATAATCACACATAGTGGCTTCCCCATGAAATATTTGTGGAAGGGTCTGATGAGACCACATTCAGATGAGTGGATTCAATTCTAGATACTCTTGCTTATTAAGGGAAAGAGGTGCACGTCACTTCTGGAGGTCTCTCCTGGAGAAACTCTTATATTTTTGCACAAGGAGACATATACAAGTATGTCCATTACAGAATAATTTATGATAGAAGAAATTGGAATCAATTGAGATGTCCATCAACAGGGGACTGGATACGTGCAGTGTTATGCATGCACATGTTTTAATACTGCAAGCAAAGTAGACAAACCAGAGTTATATGTGTCAACAGGGAGATTTCTGAGAATATGGAGAGAAAATTCTGTTTGCAAAGTGATTCATATCCCATCTATGACATTTAAAACACCCAAGAGGACCTCTATATTTTTAAGGGTTCATGTATAAGTATGGAAAATTATATTAAAATGAGAGTATATGCTCTGAGTTCATAATAGTATATTGTGTTTGTGTGGATAGCCTGGTTGAGAGCATAGAATTGGAACCAGGAGTATGCATAGAGAGGAGTTTAGCTTTACTGTGATATTCCAATGGTATTTAAAAGCTGTGCGTTCGGGTATTCATTGAGTAATTTTGAAAAGTGTAAAGATAAAAGAGAGACAGTTACAAAATATGCCAACATGTTCATAATGGTTTATTCCAGATGATAGAACTATGGGTGGGTCTTGGTTTCTTCTTCTTTTTTTTTTTTTGAATTTTTTTTTATGCTTTAAGTTCTGAGGTACATGTGCAGAATGTGCAGGTTTGTTACATAGGTATACATGTGCCATGGTGGTTTGCTGCACCTACCAACCCGTCATCAACATTAGGTGTTTCTCCTAATGCTATCCCTCCCCTAGCCCCCGACCCCCCGACAGGCCCCAGTGTGTGATATTCCCCTCCCTGTGTCCATGTGCTCTCATTGTTCAACTCCCAGTCATGAGTGAGAACATGTGGTGTTTGGTTTTCTGTTCTTGTGTTAGTTTGCTCAGAATGATGGTTTCTAGCTTCATCCATGTCCTCGCAAAGGACATGAACTCATCCTTTTTTATGGCTGCATAGTATTCCATGGTGTATATGTGCCACATTTTCTTTATCCAGTCTATCACTGATGGGCATTTGAGTTGGTTCCAAGTCTTTTCTATTGTGAACAGTGCCAATATAAACATATGAGTGCATCTGTCTTCATAGTAGAATGATTTATAATACTTTGGGTATATACCCAGTAATGGGATTGTTGGGTCAAATGATGTTTCTAGTTCTAGATCCTTGAGGAATCTCTACACTGTCTTCCACAATGGTTGAACTAATTTACATTCCCAACAACAACAGTAAAAGCATTCCTATTTCTCCACATCCACTCCAGCATCTGTTGTTTCCTGACTTTTTAATGATCGCCATTCTAACTGGCGTGAGATGGTATCTCATTATAATTTTGATTTGCATTTCCCTAAAGACCTGTGATGATGAGCTTTTTTTCATATGTTTGTTGGCCACATAAATGTCTTCTTTTGAGAATTGTCTGTTCATATCCTTTGCCCACATTTTGATGGGGTTGTTTGTTTTTTTCTTGTAAATTTGTTTCTTTGTAGATTCTGGATATTGGCCCTTTGACAGATGGATAGATTGCAAAAATTTTCTCCCATTCTGTAGGTTGCCTGTTCACTCTGATGATAGTTTCTTTTGCTGTGCAGAAGCTCTTTAGTTTAATTAGATCCCATTTGTCAATTTTGACTTTTGTTGACATTGCTTTTGGTGTTTTAGTTATGAAGTCTTTGCCCATGCCTATGTCCTGAATAGTATTGCCCAGGTTTTCTTCTAGGGTTTTTAGGGTTTTAGGTCTTAGGTTTAAGTCTTTAATCTATCTTGAGGTAATTTTTGTATAAGTTGTAAGGAAGGGGTCCAGTGTCAGTTTTCTGCATATGGCTAGCCAGTTTTCCCAACATCATTTATTAAATAGGGAATCCTTTCCCCATTGCTTGTTTTTTTCACGTTTGTCAAAGATCAGATGGTTGTAGATGTGTGGTGTTCTTTCTGAGGGCTGTGTTCTGTTTCATTGGTCTATATATCTGTTTTGGTACCAGTCCCATGCTGTTTTGGTTACTGTAGCCTTGTAATATAGTTTGAAGTCAGGTAGCGTTATGCCTCCAGCTTTGTTCTTTTGGCTTAGGATTTTCTTGGCTATATGGGCTCTTTTTTGGTTCCATATGAAAATCAAAGTAGTTTTTTCTAATTCTGTGAAGAAAATCAATGGTAGTTTGATGGGGATAGCACTGAATCTATAAATTACTTTGGGCAGTATGGCCATTTTCACAATATTGATTCTTCCTATCCATGAGCATGGAATGTTTTCCCATTTGTTTGTGTCCTCTCTTATTTCTTGAGCAGTGGTTTGTAGTTCTCCTTGAAGAGGTCCTTCACATCACTTGTAAGTTGTATTCCAAGTTGTATTCCAAGGTATTTTATTCTCTTTGTAGCAATTGTGAATGGGAGTTCAATCATGATTTGGCTCTCTGTCTGTTATTGGTGTATAGGAATGCTTGTGAGTTTTGCATATTGATTTTGTATCCTGAGACTTTGCTGAAGTTGCTTATCAGCTTAAGGAGATTTGGGGCTGAGACGATGGGGTTTTCTAAATATACAATCATGTCATCTGCAAATAGAGACAATTTGACTTCCTCTCTTCCTATTTAAATACCCTTTATTTCTTTCTCTTGCCTGATTGCCCTGGCCAGAATGTCCAATACTATGTTGAATAGGAGTGGTGAGAGAGGGCATCCTTGTCTTCTGCCAGTTTTCAAAGGGAATGCTCTCAGTTTTTGCCCATTTAGTATGATATTGGCTGTGGGTTTGTCATAAATAGCTCTTATTATTTTGAGATATGTTCCTTTTTTTTTTTTTTTTTTTGAGACAGAGTCTCACTCTGTTGCCCAGGCTGGAGTGCAGTGGCGCGATCTCGGCTCACTGCAACCTCCACCTCCCAGGTTCAAGCTATTCTCCTGCCTCAGCCTCCCAAGTAGCTGGGACTACGGGCACTTGCCACCACACCTGGCTAATTTTTTGTATTTTTAGTAGAGACAGGGTTTCACCATGTTAGCTAGGATGGTCTCAATCTCTTGACCTCATGATCCACCTGCCTCGGTCTCCCAAAGTGCTGGAATTACAGGCGTGAGCCACTGTGCCCAATCTTTTTTGAATGTTTTAATCTCAGAGAGGGTAGGAGGGACATAGCGAGGGAGGAAATGGGGAAGAAGGAAAGAAGGAAGGAAAAAAGAAAGGAAGGAAAGAAAGAAGGAAGGGAGGGAGGGAGGGAGGGAGGCAGGAAGGCAGTCAGGAAGGCAGGAAGGCAGGAAGGAAGGAAAGGAGGGAGGGAGGAAAGGAAAGGAAAGGAGAGGAGAGAGCAATAAGAGTTTGTATAACAGAGAATTTGGGAAGTAAGGAACTGGGAAACTGAGGCAGATTAGTAATAGTTGTGGAAACAGAGGTTTTTGGTTCAGAAAAGTTTCAAACCCCACCTTCACATATTCTCTGGGGGAGAAAATAGAGCAAATTAAAGACGCTAAAGATACAGCAGATTTCAGCACAATATAATAGAAAGAAATTCTCATTAAAGACTTTCGGATAAATTTTAATTACCTAAACATATAGTAACTTATCTTCCTTTAAAATATCATTTAATGCTACAAATAAGTTTGGAGCCTTCTTCTCTCCCTGCTCCCCCAGAAGTATCTATTGTCAATTTGTTAATTACCTTTGTAGAACTTTTCAAACACCTTTGCACCCATGTCTTTACCATAGAAAATATATAGCTTGGTTTTTTGTTGCTCTAAGCATGAATAGTCTTACTACACTGTACTAAATTTTCAGCAGCATGCTCTTTTTATTCATCATTGTTTCTCTGAGATTTCTCCATAGGGATACATTATAGACTTAGTATGTTCTTTTTTATGACTATATAATGTTCCATTGAAGGAATATTTTACTTTTTTGGCATCACTGCTTTATTGGGAGATATACAGGTTGGTTCCGATTTTTTTGCTAATACAGTGTAGCTGTGAAACCCTCTTTACCCTCCTCCCGCATCTCTGTAAGGGTGTACTTGCTGGACAGTAGGAAGAGCACGTTTTCAATTTTAATACATCCTGTCATCAATTTGCCCAAAGGAGTGATAAATAATGATGAGATATCTGGGACTAGACTAAACCACCTTGCAGGAATAAGTTCCTCATCTCTGCAAGTGTCCAAGCATTGGCTGGACAGCTCTTGGCGTGACTATTGTGAAGGGTTTGCTGGCCCTAAATAACCATCAAGGTCTCAGCCAACAGAATAATGCTATGATCTCGCATCTCCCTGCAGCGGAACCTCCACTTCATACAACTCACGCCAAGATCTCCAGCTGCAGTGATGAGGAAAAGTCATATTTTCTGCAAATTTGGAAGAGCTATCAGGGACATGTTTGTCAAACCACATGTTTCTTGTTCCAATTGTGTTATATTTTATTCTAGCTGAGGACATCATCGCTAAATCCCTCATGTTTTGTTGGAGATTGGAATGAGTAGGCTTGGGTCCAAATCCTAAATCTGTACCAAGTAGCTGTAAGATCTTGGGCATGTTTTTTGACTTCCCCATGCATCAGGGTTTTTTGTCCATAGAGTGGGAAAATCCATACCCCTATTTCATGCTTGTTTTGATGATTCCATTGGTTGGTGGATGAAATGTGCCTAACATATAAGCCCATCTTCTAACTGTTGTTACTAATGGCTGCTGAGTTTATTACCCTGAGTGGTTGGGGGGTGCAGGGTGCTTGTCACCACACAAACTGGCTGTCTTAGAGATGCAGAGGTTGGGAGAAGTCTTTGCCCTTGGACAGGAAGGAGATTCAAGGTTTAACCAATCCATGGCACTCATTGCAGTGGCCAGCAAAACACTTTGTTCAGCATTTTATCTTTTTCAAAGCATATCTATTATCTCATCTGTTCATCAAAGGCCCCTGCAAGGAAGTCCAACAGAGGATAGGCCCAAGGAGAGATGACTCAGGAATCTGAAAGTCAAGGCCAGAAGCTTCTCTGACAAGCAGCTCATTGGACTGATTTTATCCGCTGATCTTGGCCTGGGAGGAGTGTTAGGCTGTCCAGGCCAGGCCTGAAATACACACAGAGAGACTTCCTTTTCCCTGACCGTGGACTGCACTCCTAAGCCTAGCCAGATGGGCTGCAGATGTGAGCTCTGGGCTGCAAGGGAGGCTGGGAGAATGGACAAGACTCATACCCTTGCATGGGATTCTAAGTCCCAATCCAGGTCCCACAGTACCATAGGAGCATCATGCTGGGATCTTGTGTCTCTCTCTGAGTTCAAATTTACAGAGTTTTGGACTCAGGAAGGTGATGCTGGAGATATTGTCATGCTTCTGCAATGCTGGTAGCTGTGTCAAAGAACATCTCCGGCAACAGCCATCACATCTTGCAGCCTTCAGGTCAGCTTGGAAAGAAGCCACAGCCTCGTTTCATTCCTGCAGCCCTAGCAAGCGCTGGAAAGCTATGAGGTTGCTGAATGCCTTCTTCCAGCGCATTTCAGGTCCTCCCTTGCCTCCTCCTTCTTTGGCCTATTCCAAAGTTCAAGATCCCTTCCCTCAATGCTATAGCTTCAGCATAGCCATTGTTGACTTTTATCTCAAGGGACCAATTGCCACTGTCAACTCATTCAGAGTGGAACTGTTTGGAGTTCTGCTTTGGAAATCATAATTCCCTATCTCCAAGAGAGGCCTCAGGAACTTTACTTCTGGACATGGTTGAGGAAAGTTTCCTGGCTCGGCCAGACCTGGGTTTTGCCATCCATGGCTGTGTGACTTTGCAAAAATCATCTCACCTCTCTGATCTCAGGATTCTCTTTAGTGGAAAGTGGGGAATCATCCCTACCTCGCAGGGCCATTGGGAGGATGAAAGAAAACTCATTGAAATGCCTGCTATAGTGCCTAGCATGGAGTCCGTGTTTCTTTAGGGGTAGCTACTGTTGCTCTGGTTATTATTGTCCTTGTTGGTAGGGTACTGCAGAGCAGCAGCCTCTCTTCCTTCCTCAGCCAGATAGTCATATAGTCAGATGGACCTGCATTCTACTCTCAGCATCCCCTTACTAGCTGTGTGGACTCAAAAGAGCTACTTAGCTTCTCTGAGCCTGCCTCGGTTTCCTTATATGTAAAGAGAAGTTTAGAAAGTTTAATCCACTTCTCTAAAATCACGTATCCACTAAGGAATTTCAACTTAAACCTGTTAAGTTCAAGGCGCTGAATTGCTTAATTATTACACATGAATATTTTGATCATGTTTATTAATATTTCCCTTCACTATTTTTCTTAAACCTGACCTGGAAGGAGGACTATCTGAAAATCATCTCTTCTTCGGATTCGAAAGTTCTGTCTCAAAGTCCAGGTCCAGCCCAGCAGGCTATCACTTTCCTCTGCAAAATAAATAAATAAGTAAATAAATGAATGCAAGCAAGTAAGCAGCCTAAAATAAACCATAGGAGAGCGGTTTGGGGATTCTCTGGAAATATTCTCAAAAGGAGGATTTGAAGAAGGCAACTGGGATTTGCCCAACTCCAGAAAGGACCTTGATAAAATCTGCACATCAAAGGAAGCAAAAGGCTTCAAAAGGCAGGCTCTGCGTTCTGCCCTTTCTGCCTCCTGGCATGGCTAACTGGTTCACCTGCCGCCAAAGCCAGAGGTTGAAGAGCAGGGAGCTAGGGGTTTTGTGGCAGGCACCTCACCGCAGTCAAGAGAGTGTCTCTGGAGGCTTGCACAGCTGGCTGGGCTTTTCCAACCTTTCGTTCCCCAGCTCTGGGATCTTCACCTGGGCTCCAAACATCCAATAGCTCTGTGGATGGAATTCAGGGCACTCGTGAACCTGGACAGAAAGAAAATACGTCATATCTTTGTTGACCAGCCTCAAACTGAAATTAAGTATTTCTTTCTGTTAATTCTGAATATAGGCAACATATATGTAGCAGGATTTGGGAACCTTTGTGACTTTGTCACCAATAAATATCACTGATATTGGCATATCACATCACATATGTCACAGATAACTTGATGTACTTTAACCTCATGACACCTCTGCCATCGTGGTTGTTATTAGATCTGCTGCTGGGACTTGATATTTCACGAGTTGAAAAAGAAGCACAAATATCACCATATTACAATTTCTTTCCTATTTGATAACTGTACTTCAATGCAGTTGATTTCTTTAGTAATCTTATTTAACTATCTTATTTTACGTATTTTAAAACACTATTCTGAGAAGGGATCCCGAGACTTCAGTAGACTGCCAAAAGTCTATGGTGTGTATACACACACACACACATGCACACGCAATATCAGAACCCCTGTAGAACAGCTGATAAACTTTCAGCCTTGGTTTTCTTATCAGTGAAATGGTTCTTAGAATCCTTTCAGTGCATTTGTGAACAACACCTGTACCCATGTGTGTAAAAGTGCCCGGCACATGGGAAATACTCAATAAATGCTAACCTCCCTCTTTCCTCTTGAAGGTCACCTGCATACGACCTTGGGCCAAGAAGTAGTGTATTTACTACCTGCCTTCCATGGCCTCCCTTGAAGGGCTGCTTGCTACTCACTGGCTCACATTTATCCCCCCCGAATAAAATGCCCCTCCCACACTGCCATGACACACATCCAGTAAGAGGGAGCTTGACAAGATCACAAATATTTGAACAATCCTTGGGGTAACACAGGGCAATGACCCCAAAGTACGTGCTGCACCGGCTGAAAGTTTATCCTAGAATGACAAACGTGACAACTCACAAAGTGAGGGGGGAAAGGGCCAGATAAGATAAAAAGCACCTACAGAGCCTAAGGCACACCTCGTGCAAGGAGGAAGAAATTCGGCACTGAGTGGCATCAGGGGAGTAAGACCACCAAGTCAAATAGTCTATTTTCTAGAAAGTTCCCAGCATCTGGGGTATAGTATAGACAGTTCATGTAAATGCAGCTTTGTAGCTGTGTGACCCTGGGTAAGATGTTGACCTTCCTGTGTGGCTAGGAAAAATCAGAGAGATGGCTGTAAAGCACTGATATGCTCTTTGAACAGAGTAAGCCTTCAGAAAATGATGCTATTATTGTTCTTATTACTAACATTATTATGTTAATATATAAAGTTGCTAATATCCAAGACTCAGTAGTCAGAGAGCCCACTTCAGCAATTAAAACTATATACCCTTGGGCCACTTTAAGTTTTTGTGTCTTGGTCTTTTCATTGCGATATGGAATAGCATTAGTATCTTGTAGGGTGGTTGTGGGAATTAATTGGGATAATATATAAACTGGGCTTAGGCTGGAGCCTGACACAGAACAAACACAGATTAAGTGTTAGCTATAAATATTATTAGCATCATAAATCATTACAGTCTGGACATAGAGAAATGGAGTCATTGGAAAGAAACAAATGAAAAAGAGAATTTCTTGGTGAGATAGAGATCTGGACCAAGGGTAGGCAAACCATTCCCCACCTGATTCTGTAAATAAAGTTTTATTGGAACACAGCCATGCCCATTCATTTATGCATTGTCTGTGGCTGCCTTCACACACAGCGGCAGAGCTGGGTAGTTGCAACAGGGACTTTATGGACCACAAAGCTGAAATATTTACTATTTGGTCCTTCAGGAAAAGTTTGTCTCCTCATGTGGAGAAATGGTGGTATCTTGACAAGATGCCCCATGGGGATGCTAATGAGACATTTGACATAAGCTAATTATTATTTTTCTGTGTTGGTGTATTATACAACTGGGAAGAATAACATCCTTTCTTCTATCCACCCATGTGTATATCTATCTACTCATCTATTTATATTCAAAAAACATTCAGACACTGTCCTAGGTGTTAGGGATGGAGAAATGAGCTAAGTCTATCTGGGCAGGTGACAAGTGAATGAGTAATTGCAATTCAGTGCAGCAGATATTGGAAATCAATCAGGGCTAATCCACCGCATGGTTTGTGTGAATTAGAAAAATGTGAAAAAGGTATTCCCTTGGAGCAGTCAGGACTTGGTGAATCAATGGATCTCATCCCCCATTGGCCACTTTGGCCAGACCATTTGCACAGTGCCCAACCTGCACAACTTTATATGGCAGTCCTGAGAGCAGTCACTACAGTGTGCAAGTGGGATTGAGAAGGGCAAAGTCACATTAGGGAGGAATCCAGGGTAGAGGTGTCAAGTGAGACTTCATGAAGTAGGAAATGAGAGCTGAGTCTTGAGAGGGGAATAGAGGACGAGGGAGATAAATGGGATGGGACAGGGGATAGGGAAGACATTCTCAGGTAAAGAAAAGTACTTGAGTAGACAGGGGGGCCAGGATGAAAGTGGGAAGGGTCTGGTGGGTACTGACCCTGCAGAGAGCGCAGTGTGGTTACAGCATGAATTGCTGCAGGGATAATTTCAGACCCCATCAACTCAACTCCCCTCTATTTTACATTCTGATCATAACTCAAATCTGCTCACTTCTCTCTAATGCTACCATCACCTTCTGGACAAGACCTCAAGAACTCCCACCCTGATGACTGCCAAAGTCATCTCAATGGTCCCACCAACACGTCTCCTGCTGTACAGCCAGAGGGATCATTCTGAAGTCAATCTGATGATGATTCTTCCCTGCCCTAGCACCTGCCATGGCTCCTCCGTGCTCACAGATCAAATCCACACTGCTTAATGTGCAATCCAAGAGTGTTTCTGGTCCAATCTCTGCTTAGTCCATTTTCATACTGCTATAAAGAACAGCCTGAGGCCAGACGTGGTGGCTCACATCTGTTATCCCAGCACTTTGGGAGGCAGGAAGGTGGATCACGAGGTCAAGAAATCGAGACCATCCTGGCCAACATAGTGAAACTCTGTCACTACTAAAAATACAAAAAAATTAGCTGGGCGTGGTGGCGCGTGCCTGTAGTCCCAGCTACTAGGGAGGCTAAGGCAGAAGAATCCCTTGAACCCAGGGGTGGTAGAGGTTGCAGTGAGCTGAGATTGCGCCACTGCACTCCGGCCTGGCGACAGAGGGAGACTCCTTCTGAAAAAAGAAAAAAAAAAAAAAAAAGAACTGCCGGAGACTGGGTAATTCATAAAGGAAAGAGGTTTAATTGACTCATAGTTCAGCATGGCTGGGGAGGCCTCAGGAAACTTCACAATCATGGCTGAAGGTGAAGGGGAAGAAAGAAACTTCTTCACAAGGCAGCAGGAAGGAGAAGTGCTGAGCAATTGGGAAGAGCCCCTTATAAAACCATCAGATCTCATGAGAACTCACTCACTATCATGAGAACAGCATGGGGAAACCACCCCCCTGATCCAGTCACCTCCCACCAGGTCCCTCCTGTGACGCGTGGGGATTACAATTCAGATGACAACATGAGATGAGATTTGGGTGGGGACACAGCCAAACCATACCACCTTTCCCCAAAAATACTTCCCCAGAGATCCTTTTTCTTTATACTTTCATAAGTTAGAATTCCTGGTTCTTTCCTTTTGTACAAATCAGCCAAGTAAACAGTTTTATATAAATATATATCCTCAAGTAAACACTATATAGATACTTCTTTCAACATATAAGCATTTTATATATATAATGTTTATATATATGGTGTTTGCATATACAAAAGTATAGATATAGACACAGAAATAGATGTAGTTATAGATATAGATTGCACGCCACCTTGGTTCAGGGAAGGCCACCTAGAAACCTCGTCACTGGTCTCCCAGCTTTTGTCTTTGCCCTTCTGTAGTCTCCAAAAAGCAACCAGAGGGATTTTATTACAACCTAAGTCAGATCATGTCACTCTTCTGGTCAAAACTTTCCCACACTGTCTGTCTCACTCAGAGTAGAAGCTAAAATCCCTTCAATAGTCCACAAAGCCCTTCAAAATCTGGCCTAAATTATTTCTCCAACTTCATCTCTCACTGGCTTCTCGCTCATTTCACACCACTCCACTTTTAATAGGCTTCCTGCATTCCTCAAGCATTCCAGGCACAATTCCATCTCCGGACCTTTGCACTGGCTGTTCCCGCTTCCTGGAAGACCCTTCCCACAGATCTCTGTGTGACATTCTCTCTCTCTCTCTCTTTTTTCTCAACCCCCTTCAAGACTGCTTAAATGTTGCCCTCTCATAGACATTTTCTGTTATAACCACGTTTACAATGGCAAACCATTCCTAAACTTTTAACTTTTTTCTTTTTTTTTTTTGAGACGGAGTCTCACACTGTCACCAGGCTGGAGTGCAGTGGCGTGATCTCAGCTCACTGCAACCTCTATCTCCTGGGTTCAAGCGATTCCCCTGCCTCAGCCTCCTGAGTAGCTGGGATTATAGGCACCCGCCATCATCCCTGGCTAATTTTTTGTATTTTAGTAGAGATGGGGTTTCACCATGTTGGCCAGGATGGTCTTGATCTCCTCACCTCGTGATTTGCCTGCATTGGCCTCCCCAAAGTGCTGGGAATACAGGCGTGAGCCACCGCGCTCAGCCTTTTTTTTGTTTTGTTTTGTTTTTTTTGAGATGGAGTCTTGCTCTGTCTCCCAGGCTAAAGTGCAGTGGCGCGTTCTTGGCTCACTGCAACCTCTGCCTCCAGGGTTCAAGTGATTTTCCTGCCTCAGTCCTACTGAGTGCCTGAGACTACAGGTGTGTGAGACCATTCAGTAGTATTTTCATTCTACTGAAAATACAATAATTTTTTGTATTTTCAGTAGAGACAGAGTTTCACCATGTTGGCCAGGCTGGTCTCCAACTCCTGGCCTCAAAGTGACCCACCCACCTCAGCCTCCCAAAGTGCTGGGATTAGAGGCCTGAGCCACCATGCCCAGTCACTTTTGTTTCTTTATTGCACATGTTACCATACCTTATAATTAATTATTATTCTTTTAAAATCTGTTTCTATTGCCTTGAAAGTTCCATGAGAGCAAGGATTTATGTCTTTTTTGTTTACTGTAATATCCACAGCAACTAGATTAAACCATGGCACATAATACATGCTCAGTTAATACTCGGGAAATGAATGAATCCCCTCCTTTAATGCAGTCAGTATACCTTTATTAGTGCATTTATAGATCCCTTCGATGTATTTGTTAGCCACGTCACACTATGAATATACACTGATGTTTTAGTTGCCTCAAACCTTACAGTTTTTGTTTCTTGGTCTGTGTTACTTACCATTGTAATGATTTAGGACAAATTTCTGTGCTCCCAGAAGCCAGCAGTGCAGACAGAGTTAACTTGAAGACTGAGCACCCCACTGGGTGTCCCAGAGACCCTCCTCTTGTCCTGACTTGTTGACTGGCCACCTTTTTTGGGTTTGTTATAGTTTGTTTACCTTGGACTGTGCTTTCTCCCTGCAGTTTGCTGCCCTGGGCCTCTGGTTTGAAGTCAGCCGCCCAATGGCCTCGACACCGTCACCTCGCCTCCAGCCACGGGCCATGCTCCACACGCCACCGACACTTTGGCCAGGGGGAGGGGAGAGATGGCTTAATCATTGCAGGCCAACACCCAGCCTGGATCTGCCTGATGGACAACAGTATTGATAGTCTAGCTGACCCTTGTTCGACAAGCTGACATTCCCCGTATTTCACAGGCCGACGCTGGACGTGCATCAAAGAGACTGTCAGGTCACCAAACAGCTAATTAAAGCAATAAAGAGTCAGGAAGGCTAAATGGCCCCTTTCCTCCTCAGGAGCCTAAGGTCCCTTGTAGGAACCTGCATGGTTCCTTCTTCCCTGGAAGTGCAGTCCAAGATGGAGAGGATATTGGGGAATGTCCCAGCAAGCCCTCGGATCAGAAAAAGGATGAAGGTAAGTTCCAGACACTGGGTTCCTATCCTGCTCTTGACCCAGCCCCACCTCCACCATTATTTCCATTTTTAGGAGTTCAATATGAGTGTGCAAACTAGAGTCCCCAAAGCTCATTCCTCTGGGAGGAGTGTTTGAATAGAGACCACCTGGATTCTGGTGGCATTGATCTTTACCAGGTCTACATGACCAAGGAGTGGGATTGAAGGTGTTCACAGGGCCCATTCACCCTGACCACTTTGGCAGTAGAAAGAGTAACAAATTTGTAGTCAGACGCCCTGGGCATGAACCCAAGCTCTGTCACATGCTAGCTGGATGGCCTTGGCTTAGTTCCTTAGCCACTCAGCCTTGGTTTCATCATCTCTAAAAGGCAGATGAGAGTAAGGTCAATATTGGAGAATTGTTGCAAAGATTAAACCAGTGATTCTTAACCCCAGCCCTACATGGAAATCATTTTAAGTGTTCTGGAACACAGCTTTGTCCAGGCTCCCTAAGGCCAGTGGATTCAGAATCTCTGGGGCTGGGTCTTGGGTGTCTTCTGTCTTTAAAAAAATCTCTTTGGATGAGTCTTACATGCAGACAGGGCTAAAAATCGCCAGATTGAATGATATAAAATGATCGCTGAGCTCACACCAGGACTGGCACATAGTAGGGGCTTTGTGAAGACTAATCTTCTTCTCCCTGGCACCTGCTGTCTCTAAACTTCACTTGGAATTGCTTTAAGGGAAGTACATGAGAGTTGACATTAAGCAGCTGTCCCCAAACATTGCTTTTATCTTGAGGACCTCTACTGCTCAGTTATGAATAGGACCCAGTTTCTCTTTCTTCCCTGAAGACTGTTCCACCCAGGCCTTTTCTATAATTCTGTGTTATCATCTCTCAGGACCTTTGTTGACATATCCCCAAGAAGCTACTGGCATTGAGTCTGATATATGGCATCAATTTCCTCCAATTCCTAGTTCAAATGTCACAATGTCACTACAGCCCTGCTGAGGGGACCTGAATCACACCTCCGTGTATTAGGTGGCCAACTTGAGAAAAATCTATATTGGACCAGAATGGAAAACATGGCAGTGACATATCTGCAAACAAGTGTCGCACAGACAGTTCACCACCGAGAAAGGTGTTGACTTCATATTTTATGTATCTAATCTCAGAGAATTTTTAAAAGAGTGAAAATAAAAATGTATTGAGGTGCTAATACAATGATATTATAGTGATTTATCCAGGCCTTATGCACATGGCCTTCTCTGTAGACTTGGGTGGGACATTTTGCCTCTCTGTACCTCAGTTTCTTCATCTGTAAAATGGACATATTAGTGATATCTCCCACGTAGTGTTGTTTGTTTGAGGACCAAATGATATACTGCACATGAAGTAGTTAAAATAAGGTCTGCCACCATATACACCATGGAATACTAAGCAGCCATAAAAAAGAATGAGTTCATATCCTTTGCAGGGACATGGATGAAGCTGGAAACCATCATCCTCAGCAAACTAACACAGGAACAGAAAACCAAACACTGCATGTTCTCACTCATAAGTGGGAGTTGAACAATGAGAACATATGGGCACAGGGAGGAGAACATCACACACTGGGACAGGTCAAGGGGCAGGAGGCAAGGGGAAGGAGAGCATTAGGACAAATACCTAATGCATGAGGGGCTTAAAACATAGATGACGGGTTGGTAGGTGCAGCAAACCACCATGGCACATGTATACCTATGTAACAAACCTGCACGTTCAGCACACGTATCCCAGAACTTAAAGTAAAATTAAAAAAAAAAAAGGCCTGCTACATAATTAGATCTCCATAAAGGAAGAGATGATTATTGCTATTATTCAACACATTTCTACTGGATGCCTCCTATAGGCCAGTCAATATGAAGAACTAAGAGGTAGAAAGAGGAAGAAGACAGAGACCCCAGATTTGCCAACTTTATGTTCTTGTTGAGGAGACAGATGCATAGAGAGAGAATATTATTACAGATCAGCCATATTTACTATGGGTCTCCTGTCTGCTCGTACTGGCCTAAGATCTTGAGACACATCAGTGAACAAAACAGACAAATTTCCTTGCCTTCCAGGTGGTTATATTCTATCAGGGATAGATTCCTTAAGGAAATTCATTAATGACTCATTAATGATGTCCTTAATGAATCCTTAAGGAGATTAATTAACAAAAAATAAATAGATAAAACATATAATATGTTAGAAGGGGATCCCAGGTGGTTATATTTTAGCAGGGAGACAGAGATTCTCTAAGAAAAATAAGGGGCCGGGCACAGTGGCTCACGCCTGTAATCCCAGCACTTTGGGAGGCCGAGGCGGGTGGATCACGAGGTCAGGAGATCGAGACCATCCTGGCTAACATGGTGAAACCCCGTCTCTACTAAAAATACAAAAAATTAGCTGGGTGTGGTGGCGGGTGCCTGTAGTCCCAGCTGCTCGGGAGGCTGAGGCAGGAGAATGGCATGAACCTGGGAGGCGGAGGTTGCAGTGAGCCGAGATTGCTCCACTGCACTCCCGCCTGGGCGACACAGCCAGACTCCGTCTCGAAAAAAAAAAAAAGAAAAAGAAGGAAAAAAAATATATGTTAGAAGGTGATAAGGGCTCTGGGAAAAGAATGGTGGGAACGTTTAAAGGATTCTCTGGCATCAAAAGGAAAGGGCACTCTTCGTTCCTGAGAGGAGAAATCAGCATCCCACCCAAGTCTACAGAGAAGGCCATGCATATAGGGCCTGGATGAACTGCTATAATATCACTGTGCTAGGACCTCAATAAGTTTCGTTTTCACTCTATGCATTTAAGATGGTGTCATGTCCTGCATTGAAGAAATCAAAGGTTGGTTGTCGCTGGCTGCCAAGCTCATTCTCAGACTTCTTGACTCCAGGATGGGTCAGGAATCATTCATTCTATTGAATAGATGGAAAAGCTGAGAAAACGGGCAAACTGTGATTTGATCCAAGATTTCCTGGGAATTTGTAAATGGATTTAGAAACACAAAATCGATTAAGAACCCGAGTTTTAGATTTGAAACAGGCCTGGGTTAGAGCCCCTGCTCCGTCACTTACTTTAGGAAAATCATTTCCCCTGTGTGAGTCTCAGCTTCTTCATCTGTAAAATGGAAATAACAGTATCTGATGGTTAGTGTGAGGACCCAGTGAGCTCATGTTTGTAAGGCATTCAGCACAGCGTCCTGAATATGGTGACACTCCAGAAATCACAGTTGAATTTATTTTTCAGACTCATTGATGATTTCAAACTTCCAACAAACGTACATGTTAGAATGTGTATATGTGTGCGTATATATACATACAAAGTCATCCAAAAGTGAATATATATTATATATGCATGTGTAAATGTGTATTGCATAATATGCATATGTGTATGTATGTTGTATACATATATGTGTATGTGCGCATGCATGTACATGCCGAGTTTCATCCAAAGGTGATTATGACAATGTATGCAAGTGTATATATGCACCTCGCATGCATATGTACATACGTATTTTATATGTATATGTTTATACATATGTATATCTATGTGCATATGAATGGGGTAGGTATGCATATATACTCATGCAAAGGTAATTTTTAATATATGCAAATTATGTGCATATATCATCATGTGTATGTACATGTATATATGTATTTACGTGTATATATACTATATCTATGTGGTGTGCACGTGTGTGCATACTGTATGTGTGTATGAGCATGTGTGTATGCGTGTGTGTGTGCATGCATCTACACACACACACTCAGTCATTTCTTGAGCTGTTTTTCTCTCCAGGAGCAATGAAGACAAAAACTCTTTACAGCCTGTATGATTCTCAACTTTCCTGGCCCCAGCAGATACTGGGTGTATATTCCCAGATGTGGCAGCCTGCCTGGCTGAACCCCAGAGGCCTAGCATGTCTGAGATAAGGCAAAACCTTCTGAATGCCATGGCAGGAAACAGAATGGTTAATAACTTTAGTGGAGAACCTTGAGATAAAATGGGTTAAAGTGTTTGATTTTTGCAGCTCTGTAAGGTTACATTCGGCTTCCAGTCCCTCTTTCTCTCCCCTACTCTCTCGCCCTCTTTTCCTGCCTCCTGATGAAAAATATGCTCCGGCTTAATAGAATTACTCTCAGAGCCATCAATGCAAACGCTGTTTCAGGGCAATCTCATTCGAACAAATGTATTTTTATTTGAACAGTGTTACTTGAAAAATTAAATCGCTGTATCTGTTCCCTTTTCCCTCCCTCCCCCCAGCCATCCATACGGCCCTCACAATGGGGAGGAGAGGCGAGCAGAGCAGAGCTGAACTGTTTTTAAATGAATTTGATCTGATTTAATGATTCTTCTCTGCATTAATTAACAGTGAAACCAGCCAATACATTGTATCATTCATAGATGTATCCACCGGCATCCGTTTTATTTTTGGAGTTGACTGAATGTATCACTCTTCAGACTTATTGTCTTTGAAAAGTTCAGAGCTAGATTAGAAGAGGTCTGGTGGAGACATGGGGACTGGACATGTCCACATGAGTGCAGGTGTGTGGGGGTTTGGGAGCATCTGTGGTCCAGTGAAATAGAGGCAGCTACCCAGAGGTTGGTACAAAAGAGATCTAGGTTCGAATCTCAACTCAAGTGCCCAATAACCATTTGATTTGGGGCAAGTCTTGCCACTGCTTTCTGCCTCATTTTCTCCCTCTGTGGGTTGGGGCTAATAATTGTGACCACTTCCTAGGGAGTTCGTGAGGGTAGAATGACTACAGGTGTCTGCAGGGCATTGGATATCAAAGATGGCATCATCTCCTGGATTGCAGAAATCAAAGGTTGGTTTCCAAAGCAGCAAGAAAGCACTAGGAACTCAGGGATAAACTTCCCCAGGCCAGCCTATTCAGGAGGCTTTTCACCTCAATTGTGTTATGGAGACAGGGCCAGCTTCATAGCCTGCAACCTGCGCAGTCACCGAGAGCCTACACGCTGAGGGGCTTCTCCTCCTTTGGTCTGATGCTCCCCTGTCACCACCCTAAAACACTTAATAATTGTATCTTTTTGTTGCATGTGAAGTGTGACGGGACAACGAGCAGAGGAGACATGTCATCGGCATCTCCTCCACCATTTCGTGTCCTGCACCTGCATTTAACATGTGCAATACCTGAACCGAGTTTTCTAGAACAAGGGACCCACATTTTCATTTGGCACCAGGTCCTGCAAATGATGCAGATAGTCCTCTACGAAGAGACTGTCCTTGAGTGGTCATCTGTTTTAAAAAAGCAGTGCTAATGGTTTGGTTTTTTTTTTTAATGATTCTGAAGAAGGTGGAAAAATTGTTGAGCACCTGCTCTGTATTGAATATCACACTTGGTATCACATATCTCATACACTTATGACTTTAAAATTTTCTAAAATAGGTATTTTGTTTTCATTTTTTATAGATGAGGGGAACCGAGGTTTGAAAGAATTAAGTAATGTGTTTAGGATCCCATAGCTAAGAAAAGATGACTCCAGATGAAACCTTGTCTATCCATGAAACATGGACTCAGCTTTCTCCTGCCTTTTTCTTTTTTTTTTTTTCCTTCTCTCCAGTCCTATTTCTTCTTTCCTCATTCTCTCCCTCTCTCTTCCCCTTCCTTCATACATAGAGGTCTTCAGTGAGTGCTGATTGATCTAAAGGGAACTGAAATGAACTCACTGTAATTTTAATGATTGATCAGTTAGTATTTGAAGCCCCTCTTCAGCAGGCATCTACACTTCCTGGAGTTGGGGTCCAAGCTAAGCTCAGACACCATATGCCAATCAAGAATTATGAAAAAACCATGCTTGATGAGTGGGAAACTGCTGAATTTAATGTCACATATTCCCTAACCATTCAAGCCATCAAAGAAAGCATATGGTTGTGTTGAATGAAAGTTCATTCTTTCTGATTTCAAATGAGGCATCGCTGTCACTTAGCGTCTTTTAAAACATAAATTGAAATGATTTTCCTGAAAGTGTACACAGAAAAATAGCAGGTTTGCTGTTTAATCTTTTTGATCCCTAAGACAATGTCACCTCTCCATACACATTTTATTGAAACCAAAACACCCTACAAATCACTTAAAGCAATAACAGCTCTGTTTTCTCCATAGAAAGGTTTGGTCAGAACAATCTTCAGGAGACTGTACTCAGAAGAGACAAAAGAACAGGTCCACGTACAGAATTTGAAGTTATGAAGTCTAGTAGTAACCTGTATTTAGCACCTACTAAGATGACAGGCACTTTAAAGATTTTACCTCATGGACGGGCCCGGTGGCTCAAGACTGTAATCCCCACACTGTGGGAGGCCAAGGCAGGCAGATCAGTTAAGCTCAGGAGTTCAAGAACCAGCATGACCAACATGGCAAAACATACAAAATACAAAAATTAGCTGGGCATGGTGGTGCACACCTGTAATCACAGCTACTCAGGAGGCTGAGGCAGGAGAATCACTTGAGCCCGGGAGGCAGACGTTGCAGTGAGCCGAGATCATGCCACTGCACTCCAGCCTGGGCTACAGAGCAAGACACTGTCAAAAAAAAAAAAAAAAAAGAAAAGAAAAAAAAGACTTTATCTCACTTAGCTCCAACAACAGCCATAGGTAAATACTGTTAATACCTTCGTTTAGTTGATAAGGAGGTAGAAAATCAGAGTCAATAATCTGCCCATACGGCTAGAAAAGGGAGACAGAAAACTTCACAGCCAGATATCCTGAACCCCAGAACCAAGATTCTTAACCAGGACTCACTCTGAATTTACTCTTTGAAGGAAGCAAAGATGGCTGTCTCGGAGGAAGAGGTAAATGATGGCATTCTCATTCCTCTGGGGGTTGACCTTTTCTAACCAGCTAATTATTTTAATGGCAGGAGAAATTCTTATTCACTAAAATATCTGCTCTGGTCTGATGTGTTTCTTGACCTATTTCCTCTCCCCTCCATTGCTCTCTGTGCCAACCCACTCTGCTGCTGCCCTCATTGACCAGAAGAGTTGGACAAATATGCCCCCTTCAGTGTATCTTTTGGCAACTTCTGAGTATAACAAGAATCAAGTTGATTTGGAGCCAAACAGACTTGGATTGGAATTTTAGCACTCTTCTTACTAATGCTGAGCTCTTGAGCAATTTATATTATGTCTCTGCACCTCAATTTCCTCATTTGCAAACAGGGATAACATAGTTGTAGTGGATACTGTAATATGCTACCCAGCTCTCCCTTTGGGAGTGAGGGACCTATTCTCTCACATCCTAGGGGTGCTGCCACCTGCTACTCCTCTGCTGTCAGTCTTCTTTGGGAATTGCCATAGCCGCAAAGAGAGCTATGTCATCCAAGTATCCCCCATCTTCCCAGGACAACTGCATCCCTTACCCTAACTGGGGGAAACTCTGAAATTTATCTGGCTTTAGAGCTCCCCGTGGGGTTGACTGAGGCCCTTGTTCAGACTGTAAACCTGGCTTCTTCCTTTTCCCACTCCTGCTTCCTTTCTTTCACTTCCCCTGCTACTGATTCTGCACATCTTCCCCAAACCTCTTGTATGTTCATCTTCATCTCAGAGAGGAGAATCTGACTCAACAAAATCCCTTAAATTAAGTCCTAATTCATTGTTAGCGGTTATTTTATGATTTATTTGGGGGAAAATATACTCAATTGCCTTCGATGTACTGGGTGCAGTACTAGGCACCAATGGTAACAGTCAAGGCTTAACAAACTTGAAAGTTCTTGAAAGGGTGATTTGAAGGAACAAAAGTATAGTCATGGTGTCTTTAGGGAGTCCTACGTTAACAGACTCCACATGTAGGATTCATTGAATCTGAGTTCCCTTCCCTTGTGTCCACCCACTTGGCTTAGGAAGAGGAAAGTGCAGACTCTGACAAGGGGCAGGGATTGACTTGCCCAGAGACACAGAGGAATGGGTTTGTTGTGCCTAAAATGAGAAGCCAGATCTTCTCATTCACAGGCCTGTTCTCCTTGAGTGTGGTCCCCAGCCTCCATCTGGATGTTCCAGGGAAGTTCCTCCCATGTCTTAGCAGGGATGGCTGTGCCAAAAATGATGCTTCAACACAGGTCCCAGTATTCTGGCAGCCAATGATGGGTGACTAAGAATAAATTTGACCAAGGGCAAGGTGTCCTCTTTCTTCATCACCACCATCACCATCATCATCAATGATTGATGAAGATGAGTTCATCATCACTTTAAGACATTATCCCACATAATCCTCCCAATAATCTATGAAATTGTGAAGAAAACAGATGTTCAAAGAAGCTAGGCAAGGGAAATTTCACAGCTATTTGCCATTACTTTTAATGGCAAAAACCACAATTACTTTTGCACCAACCTGATAGAAAAGAACCGTGCTAGGATTCAACCCCAGGTTGGCTGGCTGCAGAGCACCTCTCTTAACCATTAAGCTATCTGACTCTCTTTGTGTGCCAATTCTTTAAGCATCATACATTCATTCCACACATATTTCCTGAGCACTTCTTTTTTTAGCAATGGCATCTCACTCTGTCACCCAAGCTGGGGTGCAGTGGGGTGATCATAGCTCACTGCAGCCTCGAACTCCCGGGCTCAAGCAACACCCCCATCTCAGCCTCCTTCCTGGGTAGCTGGGTGCAAGCCACCTCTCTCATCTCTTCATTTTTTATTTTTAGCCAAATAGAAGTATGTCAGATCATAAACCTGCAGAAGAAGCCCTTTTGGAAAAACACTAAGAGGTATACGGGGCAGGGACCATGTGTTTTTTTTTTTTTTCTGAGATGGAATCTCGCTCTGTCGCCCAGGCTGGAGTGCAGTGGTGCGATCTCGGCTCACTGCAAGCTCCACCTCCCAGGTTCACACCATTCTCCTGCCTCAGCCACCTGAGTAGCTGGGATTACAGATGCCCGCCACCACACCCAGCTAATTTTTTGTATTTTTAGTAGAGACGGGGTTTCACCATGTTAGCCAGGATGGTCTCGATCTCGTGACCTTGTGATCCGCCTGCCTCGGCCTCCCAAAGTGCTGGGATTACAGGCATGAGCCACCGCACCTGGCCTGGGACCTGTTTTATACTCACTCTGTAATAATGAAAATGAGAGCAAACACTTAAGTTGTGTTTAACGTTTCCTAAACACCATTGCAAGTCCTTGGCCTATCAATGTATGACTCACAAAATTCTTACAACTGCCAGCAGGTGAAGAAAGCTCACACAGCTTGTGAGTGTCAGAGCTGAGATCTAAACCCAGGTGCAGCCGGGATCCATGGCCCCTGCTCTTGAGGACTAGGCTTTAGTCCAGGGCTTACAAACTACAACCCACAGGCAAAATCTCACCGTTGCCTGCTTTTTATGTAAAGTTTTATTAGAACACAACCATGCCTGATTATGTATCTATTATCTATGGCTGCTTTGGGGCTACACTGGCAGAGTTGAGTATCTGCAACAGAGATCTTACGGACCACAGAGCCCAAAAGATTGATCTGCTGATCCATTACTGAACACGTTTGGCACCCCTGCTCTCCAGCCTCTCTTAGGGCTTCACATGCAGGTCTCTCAGACTTCACAGCGTAACTTAACAAGGTGGATACTATTATTTCATTAAGAAACAGAGACCAAAGGGAAGTTAAATAGTGGGTCCAAATTTAGCAGCCAAGGAAACGGCAAAGCAAGGACTTATTCACAAGCCAGCTGATTCCAAAATGCATGCCGGTAACCCCTGGGCTTTACCAGTGTGCAAAGAAACACGTGGACGGCTGAGCAGTTAGCTCTCCGAGGGGAGAAGTCTTGTCAGTCTGCAAGGCTGGTGTTATTGAAACAGTGAAATAAGCCTCCATGCCCCCCTCATACTTCCCCACTGGGCCCAGTGACCACTTAATACAAACTGCCCCTTCCCTCCTGCAGCAGGTTCCCCCATCTCTCGCAGTTAGTGTCGCCGGGACAGAGAAAGCCATCCATCTTCATGGGAAGTGATCGTTCCCAGCAGGGCACTGCCTCCCCAGCCGCTGAACCAACAGGACCCTGACAGGCATGATGCATTCTCCATGGGTCACCGTCACTGTCCAGGGCTGGGCTCCTGTGTGGGAAGTTCTGGAATCCAGAGGAGTGGAGATGAGGGGAGACACCAAGCAGCTATTTGTAAATGAGCAGCACAAGGGCTGACTCTGTATAGGCACCTGGAGAGGGCAATAGGATGGAGACAGAGCAGCCTGACAAAGTGGAGTCTTTCTAATAACAATAAAAACAACAACAACCGTAATAATCAACAACAACAATAACAACAGCAAACTCAGAGCCCTTATTGTGAGCTAGGCTCAGGTCTCAGGGTTGTACATATGTTAGCGCTTATAGCGTATAACAATCCTATGAAGTAGAATGATTATTCTCCCCATTTTACAGAGATGCAGTTCAGTACTTTGTTCAAGGTCACAGAGATAGTTGCTTACTACCTTCGGCAAATCAGAACGCCAGCCCAGGCAGTCTGTCCCTGAACTGCCACCCTTGCCGCCTCTTCCAAGGCTCCTGTTGAGAATGCAAAGTACAATAGGTAGAATTCTGCATGCCCTAACTTCACATCACAACTGCATTTCTTCTCTGTCATTTCTGGAAGGGCTCTACTGCTTGCAAAAATTTGACCAGAAGATCAAGCACAGAACAAAGGTTATTATGTGTGTTGGTTTAATCATTTATTCTGCAAATATTTATTCAGCACCTACAATGTGCCAAGCACCACGCTACATTTAGTGGAGCAATACGAGGGGGAAAAACAAGCAAGTTTAAGGTTTAAAAGGCTTAAAATCTATGGTGCAAACAGACATCAAACCAATGCTCAAGGTATGGTTGTAAATTTGCAAGAGGCAAAGGATGCAGTACTCCAGGCACATGCAATAGCAGGAGCCCAGAAAGGTTCTTGCAGAAGGGAGACTGGCACCGAGATCTGAAAACGGTGTAGGAGTCAACTTGGGAAGGGAAAAGCAACCCAGGCGGAAGGAACAGCATGGACAAAGGCCTGGTGTCTGAGGCCTGATGCAGCATTCAAGGAATCAAAAGGCACTCAGTGCAGCTGGAGTACTGAAAGTGCAGAAGCCCAAAGCACACTTTGAGGGAAGAGGGGTAGGTAGGACCCACAGGACTTTGTAGGTTCTGGGAAGCATCTCGGCCTTTGTCCTAAAAGCAACTGGGAGCCATTGGAGAGTTTTTTAAGCTGGCTGTTCACAGACTCAGAATAGCAGGTCCCATTGGCTGGGAAGAGAAAATTTGGTTTGGGTTTCACCATCCTGCAGTAGGCAGTCACCATCCACTGCCACACCCACCAAGGACATTCAGGATAGGAATCTAGAGAAGGGCCAAAGAAATAGGAGACAGGCAGTGAGGAGAGGGTAAGGCCTGGGCCCTGGCAGCAGGTGAGAGGGAGAGAGGGAGACATAAGCAAAGAGAGCACTATGCACTCTGTCCCTGTCATTTCACCACAGTGAGGCAGCAAAAAGAAAATCTGGGGACTCCCCTACTCCCTACTTTCTTGGGGAATGGTAATGTTTGATGATTTGTCTATTGGGATAAGTAATATATATTATCAATTAATCATAAGTGTTCTAGTTACTACTGCTATATAATAAACCACTACAAGACTTAATGGCATAAGACAACCATTTTATTTATGCTCATTCATTCTGTGGGTCAGGAATTTGGATGGGGCACAATGGGAACAGCTTGTCTCTGCCCCACAATGTCTGGGGCCTCAGCTGGAAGATTTGACAGCTGGGGGTGATCCAATGGCTAGGGGCTGGAATCATCTGGAGGTGTCATCACTCACGTGTCAGGCACTTGATGCAGGCTGTTGGCTGTGACATCAACTGGGATGTTGACCAGAACATCTACACGAGGCTGAAGCTTTTCCACGTGTTCTGTTAGTGTGTGCCTTTTGGGCTTCCTCACAGTATGGAGACTGGGCTCCAAGAATGAGTCCTCTAAGAGAACAAGGAGGGAGTGCATGGCATTTTTATGAACTAGCCTCAGCAGTCACATAGCATCACTTCTTCTAGTCTATTATTAGTCAAGGCAATCACAAAGGTCCCCCCAGGTTCAAGGTGACATAGTTCTCACACACAATGGGAGGAGCATCAATGTTACACTATGAGACAAACATACGGGATGGGAGATGTTGACCATCTTTGGGAAATGCAAAGTGCCTAAAAATTATAGCTAACACTGAAGTATTGTGTTCTATGCACCAATAACTCTTCTAACCACATTATGTGAAACTATCCTATCAGGTGGGTACCATTATTATCTGCACTTTGCAGATCAGTAAACCGAGGCAAAGAGATGGTTATTTGGTTTGGGATGGAGTGCAATGCGGAATAGCTCTTTAGTGGAGAAAGAAGAGGTTATCATATGGGGGCTGGATGGTGGAAATGGGGCTGAGAAAAACCAATTGTTCTACAGCAATTGTTCCCAAAGTGTGGCCCCCAGACTGGCACCATCAGCATCGCCTGGGAAATTGTTAGAAATGCAGATTCTCAGGTCCCAGACCTGCTGAGTCAAGAACTCCAGGGTTGGGACCAGGTACTCTGTGTTTTCACAAGCCCTCCAGGTGATTCCGATTCTGATGCATGTTCAAGTTTGAAAACCCCTGCTCTGTATGATACCTGAATGGGCTTTTAGCTTCTGCAGGCAGATCGGAGATGGGAGGTAAGATCTCAAGGACAGATTGAAGTGGTAAGAAGAGAGAAGGGTCTGGAAAGAAGGAGATTTGAGAATATAAGTGGAGGCAAGAGAAAATAGAAAGACGGAGTTAGTGAGAAATTTCCTGGGGCGGCATGTGATTGATAAATGTCCAGAAACAAGCACGCTGACTATTGAACTTGAAGTTGTTTCTTGTTTCAGGCTACAATAAGCCTGTAACAGTAAAATCCTATAACTATAGGACTTACATATATATATATGTATATATACACACACACACACATTCTTCCTCTTATACCCTTGTATAGTTCTACGTGCTTCCTGCAAAGCACTTGCTTAGATCCAAACCCTTTTATATTGTAAGTCACAGGCACCCAAATCAAGCTAGACTAATTTTAAAAGATGCTTTATTGTTGCATGTGACAGCTAAATGTAGGGATGGCGCTACCCACAGACTTTGGAGATGTTAAAGTACAGCTCTCCCTCCCTGTCCAAATCTTGGTTCTGCTTCCCTCTTGTATGTTGACTCATCATTTTTTTTTCTCCTGAAAAACCGTTCTTCTCCATGTGGCTGGAGGTAAATAAGGAATGTCTGCAAACAGACAGCTCCATACTAACATCCTTTCCATTTCCTTCCTCCCATACACACGTACAGGAAGGGACTCCAGTTGGCTCTGTCTGGGTCATGTGTTCACCTTTGAACCAGTCACAGCAGCCAGAATAAGGGACTGTGATTGGCCAGCATGGGTCACATGTGGACCCTTGAGAAAATGGATGCAGCTAGGTATTATCAACAGGCCCAGCTAACCACATGGTATGGAGAAGGAGAAATTTCCTCAAAGAAAGTGGAATGTCTAGGCTCAAAAGTGGGGGGAAGATGTTGAACAACAAAAAAGAATGCACATCCATGTCAGCAGCTATCACATATCTGTTTGAGTGATCATTTATTTATTTAACCTTTGTCTCTTCAACTTAAGATCCCATGGGGAAAGGGACTATTATTGCGGGCCATAGTGCTGTACCCCTAATGCTTAATTCAGTGCCTGGCACCAGTAGGTGCTCAATAAAACCCTCAGATATTGAAATAGGTTCTGGAGTATTTTGCCATGTGTCTTATAAAAGTTTGAGACTTTAACAAAAGGAATTTGAAGGAAAAGAGCTGGAGAAATTAGGAGCATCCTGTCTTGAGACATTTGAGGGAGAGAGAGGAGGGAGTTGGTTCCTGACGCTCTCCCTCTCATGGTCTCATTGATACGGATGGAGCAGGGACTATTAGTCCCATTTTATAGGTGAGGAAACGGGCTCAGAGAAGCCCCTCAGCTGGTAAGTGGAAGAGTCATCACTGAAGCCTAGATTTTACTCCAAAAAATTTAGAGCAAATTATGAACCTCCTAGAACAGAGTTAGAGCTCCCTGCCTCCCACAACTGCCATGTAGACTCCTGAACCTGGCCTTCCCACCCCTGCCAGTTCCTCTGTCACTGAGCAAGCTGCTAGCTTCACCATATAAGTTGGATTCCCTAATGCTTCGGAGTGCAGGAGGAAGCAGTGGTTGGGGAAATGCCATTAGAAATAAAAAGCATATTATTCTCCCATGTTCTTCCCCCCTCCAAACCTATTTCCCAGAGGGCCTGCTGATGCTGAACCAAAGAGCCGCACTGCAAGATAATGAATCATAACAGCAGAGAGAGGAGGAAGTGACTCCAATCAGCACCCTCCATCCGGAAGGCATTCCACCTTGAATTATGGCCTGGTGTAAGAAGGGGAAGGAATCAGTATTCCCATTTGACGGATGTGAACATTGAGAAAAACAGAGTGAATTTCGGCAAGTGTAACTGGGTGGCATTGAATCATCAAGGTCCAGTCCTTTAGCTGGGCTCCAGGGAGAAGGTGAAAAATTCACCCAGAGACCTCTTGGAGATAGTAATACATTATTTGGTATTAGCATTCTAGCTCATTCATATACTTTCCCCCGAGTCCATTCTGTATCCCTTTGAGGTAAGTTTTATTATTGAGCCCATTTTACAGATAACAAAACAAGCTCAGAGAAAATAAGTAACAGTTTAAGGTCTTGCACTCAGTGAGTGGTTTCTAATCCTATAGGTGCAATATCGTTGCTAATTCCACCAAGAAAATCCTCACCTGTTTGTGTAGGGCTCATGCCAATCCCAGCTTAACATGGTAGAAAAAGCACTGAGGGTCATCCTGAGGACCTATTATGTACCAGCCACTATGCTAGGCCCTGAGGATACAACCCTGTGACCCATGGAGCTTACAATTGAGTAGGAAAGACAGCTAGAAAATTATATATGTGATATCTGCTGACATGAATGTCTTCTCTTTGTCATTGCTGCACATCTCTCCCCACTTTTTGAGCACAAATCACCCACTTTTTGGGGGGAACTGTCTCTTCTCCATGTCCCTTACTCCATTAGTAATTCTACTCATTACATCTGGTTCCTGACACCCCTACCCCACTAAAGCCCAAGGGCTAGACATGTGACCTATATTGGCCAATAATGGTGTTTCATCCCTTTGGTTGCAGTGATTGATTGGGTCATGAATGGGCACATGATCCAAACAGAGCCAGTTGGAGTTCTTTCCTTGAAATTTACATCAAGAAACTGGGAGAGGAAAATGGTAAGAATGTAGTTATAGGACTCTCTGTAGACTCATCTCCAACCCCAGCCACACACAGCAGACCCATTTTCAGAAGAAGAAAATGAGGTCTTATACAAGAGAGCAAGAAAACCAAGATGTGGATGAAAGGGAGAGAAAAAGAGATGTATCAAGTCCTAGAAATCCAAGGGTGAGTGTCCCAAGCAGGAGAACCAGAGCAGGGGCTAGAGCGACTATCATCAACTTAGCCTCAAAAGTCATAGACCATAACTTCTACCATATTCTATTTGTTAGCCTGGTACATAGTCAAGGAGAGAAGATTTCAGTGCCATTTTTTATGAGAAGTGTATCGAGGGATTTGCAGACATGTTTTATAACCACTCCATCTCCTGTTTCCCCTTACTCAGCCTGGGGCCATGTTCTTATATTCTTTCCAAGGCTAGAACCCACAGCAACTGCAAGTTATTCTTGAATATCTTTTAGTAAGATGATACTGCCTAATTCTGAAGAGGAGAGAGGGAGAACAGGAACAGGAGACAAGGTCCCTGTAACCTTTTCTAGCTATTTCCAAGGGAGGAAATGAAAGGAAGCTAGTAACCACACTTCCCATTAGTAAGAAACTTTACAACTCTCATTATCTTTCATATCCAAACAGCCTTGTGGATTGGACAAGATAATATTGTCCACATGTCACAGAGGAGATACTAAGGCTCACAAACAGTATCTGCTTGTGATGGCAGATACTCAATGCAGTCTGGATTCTACATCTCAGCTCCCTAATTTTCTCGGGGTCCATCCTCTTATTTCTAACTCATGCTTCTTGATCCTATGAACTATGCACGTCTCAGATCATATAGGAGAAGCTGATCCCGCCAGTGAGGTTTACACCCATCTTAACTGCTCCATAAAACCTCATGAGACTTCCTCAAATCCAGAGAAGTTAAGTCCTGACACTTTAACAGCTCGTTCACGATACACAAACCAGATGGACCCGAGCCTTGAATCCATTTCGCACCATCAGGCAGCAATCACATTATAGGCTCTGCACGCTGGCTAGGCACAGAACCCTGCTCTTTGTTCTGTCCACAGACACCCTGGGGCAGGGGTGTGGGATACCTATTTCCTGTCTTGCATCTGTTTATAAATGCGCCACCAAAGAAGAGGGGCTGTTGGCCGTTCCCTCTGGATTTAAAACACAGTTTCAGCTCCTCATGAACTGGAGACAGGTAGGATTTTAGGAAACTGGCATCCTCTGAAGAAATTAACTGAGAGATGAGATTTCTTTAGTGACAGCCTTCGTGTTGTAAAAGATAAAAGTGTAGCTTTTGGCTTTTCAGCTTCTAGGAGTGGAAAGGAGCGGTTAGATCACAGACTCCGGGTGCATGAAAACTTTGCACCCTGATGGGTCCGAACTCTGACTCTGCTACTCACGGTTGATTTGGAGCAGACTCCTGATATTCTCAGCCTCTCTTTATTCATCTGTAAGATGAGTATAATGATACATTATTGCATAAAGTTGTTAGATGTAGACCACTCGTGAGCACCACATAACTGGTGCACAACGTATGTGCTCAGTTTGTGGTAGCAATTGAAGATCAAGAGCTCGGCAAGGCAATACAGGAAAAAGCACTGGCCTTGTGAGGAATTCCATCCAAGAAGCACACAACTGAGTGCTTCCCAAAAGGTGATCCAAGGCACACCGGACTCAGAAAACACACAATCAGGAAAACACACACAAAAGAAGGTCTTTCTTCAACTCAGTTTGGGAAATTTTGAAAGAGACAAAAATAAATAGGCTCTTGTTAGTTTTGTTTGTGCTGCAGTTTTTCTTGGGGTCTTTATCATGCTAATATATCCTGTGGATTTTCCAGGTGGTCAGGCTGAAGGATATATAAGGGTGTGTGTGAAGAATGGGGAAGAGGTGAGCTTCCAACATGTTTGATCACAGAAGATAATAGAAAGACAGATGATAGGTAGGTAGGTAGGCAGATAGATAATGGGATGCATGGGTGGATGAATGGATGAACGGACGGGTGAGTGAACAGGCAGATAGATGATAGTTAGACACATAGATGGATAGATACATACTTACATACAAACACACATACACAGACATGTTTCCCCTTCCGAGCCTCTGTTGACATATTACAGGGTCCTTGTATTTTACAGAACACAATTTTTAAAAAGTCGTGTAGAAGTTGTTGAGAGGTCCCTAAAAGTGGTGAGTTGGGTTGATATTCAAATAAAGGGAGTCATCTTGGACTGGAGAGGGACTTCCCTTTTGTTTTGGGAGAAAGAAGAGGCGAAATTTTGAAATTTTAGTTATGGTTCATAGTAGGATTGGAGTAGAAAAGGAGGAAGTTGAGCCAAGAAGTCGTGGTTTCCATGTTCTCCCTGAAGCAGGCTGCAAGATGACCTCTGAGAGCAAACCAAAAGGTAAGAAGGATCTTGGAGCAGAAGGAGGTGATGGGGGATTAAGGCTCAGCAGAGCAGGGGTGGGAGGTGACCACAAGGGGCAATCTTTTGAGTGTATGAAGGAAATCATCATCAATTTTTACCGATGGGTAACCTTATGTTTTAGTGCTCTAAAAGGTTATTTTGAGGCTGGGCATGGTGGCTCATGTCTGTAAGCCCATCACTTTAGGAGGCAGAGGTGGGCGGATCACCTGAGGTCGGGAGTTTGACACCAGCCTGACCAGCATGGTGAAACCCCATCTCTCCTAAAAATACAAAATTAGCCCTGCATGGTGGTGCATGCCTGTAATCCCAGCTACTTGGGATGCTGAGACAGGAGAATTGCTTGAACCTGGGAGGCAGAGGTTGCAGTGAGCCAAGATCGTGCCATTGCACTCCAGCCTGGGTGACAGAGCAAGACTCCATCTCAAAAAAAAAAAAAAAAAAGTTATTTTGAAAGAACTTTACAGAATTAAGGAACCCATATTTTCCAAAACAATTACTTTTTTGGTTAAAATGTATAAAGAGAAGTGCATTGCCTTTCCTATCACAGATACCAAGGCCTGTTGGAAGAATCAGAAATATCTGCCCCCCAATAGCAGGAGTTACTTTAAAAAGATAAGTATATACTAGGCTGAATAAAGACCCCAGAAATAAACAGGTCCTAATCCCTGGAGCCAGTGAATATGCGACTTTGTGTGCCAAAAGGGTCTTTGCAAACATGATTAAATTAAGGAGCTCGAGGTGGGGGGATTATCCTGGATTAGTTTGGTGAGCCCTAAATGCAATCAAGAGTGTCCTTAAAGAGAGAAGCAGGAAAGAAATGTGACTATAGGAGAGAAGACGGTGATATGATGCAGAAACAGAAACTGTAGTGACACAGTCCTGAGTCAGGGTTGCCACAGTCACTAGAAACTAGAAGAGGCAAAGGGCTGATTTTTTGCTGAATCAGGAACCAGCCCTACCAACACCTTGATTTTAGTCCTATATGATTCATTTTGGACATCTGGCCTCCAGAACCCTGGAAAATAAATTTTTATTGTTTTAAGTCACTAAGTATGTAGCAATTTGTTACAGCAGCAAAAGGAAACTAATACAATAGGTACATATATATGTATGGATGTGTGTCAATGTATGAGTGTGTGTTTGGGTGAGAGAGAGAGCGGGAGAGAGAGAAAGGGAGAGAGAGCATGTGTGTGTATTTTCCACACCACATTATTATTATTATTATTATTATTATTATTATTATTGAGTCTCGCTGTCACTCAGGCTGGAGTGCAGTGGTGCGATCTCAGCTCACTGCAACTTCTGCTTCCTGGGTTCAAGCGATTCTCCTGCCTCAGCCTCCCAAGTAGCTGGGATTACAGGCATGCGCCACCACACCTGGCGAATTTTTGTATTTTTAGTAGAGATGGGGTTTTGCCATGTTGGCCAGGCTGGTCGCAAACTCCTGGCCTCAAGGGATCTGCATGCCTCTACCTCACATAGTGCTAAGATTACAGGCGTGAGCCACCACATCTGGCTCCCACAAACACCTTATAATAGAGACTGTTAATATCACCTCCACTGTGCAGGTGGGGATATTAAGATGAAGAGATTTTAGATATCTAGCTATAGGCTGCACAGGTAGAAAAGCATGGAGCCAGGCCTCAGATGTGAGGATTCTATGCTCTTACCTGTACTATGCTTCCCCGCATGGGGTTATGAGTGTTGAAAAGGCAGGAAAAGGAGGGACAGTCAAGAACATAAAATGGATAAGATGATAATAAGAAGGAATGGGGTCCGGGCATAGAGTGGCTCATGCCTGTAATCTCATCACTTTGGTAAGCCAAGGTGGGAGGATCGCTCGAGGCCGGAAGTTTGATACCAGGCTGGGCAGCATAGCTAGATCCTGTATCTACACACAAAAAAAATTGAAAAATTATCCAGGTGTGGTGGTGCATGCCTATAGTCCCAGCTACTCAGGAGGTTGAGGCTGGAGGATTGCTTGAGTCCAGGCATTCCAGCCTGGACAACAGCGTAAGACCCTGCGTCTAAGAAAGAAAAAGGAATGAAGGAATGAATTACAGGATGATTTACAATTGGTAGGATGAACGGGACACTGGGAGCAGCCAACTTTTCAAGAATTGAGGATGGGTTAGGTACCACATAGCCCCTGACACTAGAAAGAATATCATGAGCGTGTGGGGGCTGCATTCAAGTTCACCTCTTGTCTGCCAGCTGTGAATGACTTGACCTCTATAAGCACCAGTTTTCTCATCTGAGAAAGTGCTTTAATAATAGCAACCGTCTTGTATTTTGTATTGTTAGGATTAAATGAGAGCATACCTGAAAAGGGTCTAGCTCAGTGTCTGACAGTACCCACTCAATAAAAACTATCATACTAGTTTTATTAGTACCACATAATACCACATAGCCATCAACAATCATGTTGGCTTTTTTATGTTAAAACATAGGCATGACACAGCAAGTAGTAAAAGGTTAAAAGGTTAGAAACTAGTCAATTCATCATTATCAATGCAGAGAAAGAAAGTTCTTTCTCCAGGAGAAAGAACTGTTTTTCCTAGGAAGTAAAATTGTGATTTTTTTCTTTTGTCCTATTTTTCAAATTGTGATAATATACACATAACGTTAAATTGACTATCTTAACTATTTTAAGCATACAGTTCAATAGTGTTGTGTATTTATATTGTCTTTTGTCCATTTTATTTATTTTTTACATTTTCTACAATAAACACAAATTGTTTTAGTTAACAAGTTATAGCAAAACATATTTTAATATAGTTTTTATGCAGAAGAATTAACTAATAAAAGGAATACAAAGAAAATAAAGCATAGGGCAGTGCATGGAGGCTCACGCCTATAATCCCAAACTTTGGGAGGCTGAGGTGGGAGGATCATTTGAGCCCAGGAGTTCAAGGCCAGCCTGGGCAACATACTGAGACCCCGTCTCTACAAATTTTTTTTTTAATTAACCAGACATGGTGGTGCACACCTGTAGTCCCAGCTACTTAAGGGGCTGAGGTGGGAGGATCTCTTGAGCCCAGGAGGTCAAGGTTACAGTGAGTTATGATAGTGCCACTGTACTTCAGCCTGGGTGAGAGAGTGAGACCCTGTCTCAAAAAGGAATAAAAGAGAAAAGAAAAGACAGAAAATAAAAGAAAGCATAGGGTGGAAGAAAATCTTTCCAACATGTAAGATAGTCTGAAAGACATACCATGGAATACTACACAGCCACAACTAAGAACAAGGTCATGTCCTTTGCAGGGGCCTGGGTAGAGCTGGAGGCCATTCTCCTTAGCAAACTAATGCAGGAACAGAAAGCCAAATACCACATGTTCCCACTTAGAAGTGGGAGCTAAGGCAGGGCGATGTGGCTCACGCCTGTAATCCCAACATTTTGGGAGGCTGAGGTGGACAGATTGACTGAGCTCAGGAGTTCGCCACCAGCCTGGGCAACATGATGAAACCATGACTCTACTAAAATACCAAAAATTAGCCAGGCATGGTGGCACACGCCTGTAGTCACAGCTACTCGGGAGGCTGAGGCAGGAGAATGGCGTGAACCTGGGAGGCGGAGGTTGCAGTGAGCTGAGATCGCACCACTGCACTCCAGTCTGGGCGACAGAGCGAGACTGTGTCTCAAAAAAAAAAAAAAAAAAAAGACAAAAAACTGGTAGAAGTAACTGGGTAAAACATATGAGTAGTCAGTAAAGATATACAGTAACGGTCAACCACGTTAGAAACAAGAGATGCATACACATGGGATAAGCCATAGGCAGACATTTTAAGGTGCTATAACCATTGTTGGTGAAGGTTGAATCATTTTCCCTACACCCTCACTAACAATAGGAATAAGCTCTTTACCTCATTCTAAAGAGCAGTTACATTCTATCTGACAGCATTGAAAATCCTTTCTGCTCTGGCAGTTTCATTTCTAGAACTCTCTTCTAAAGAAATGTCGTTATATGTACAGCGATCCAAGTAATAGCAGTGTATTGCAGCATTTTCGCATTCACAAAATTTGGAAAGCAATCTGTAAGTAAATCAATGGAGAAATGCTTAAATGAATTATGGCATATCCATATTATGAAATATGAAGTAACTGTCTAAAAAATGAGAATGAAATATATGTACTGACATGGAAAGATGCCCATGATATTAACAGAAGAAAATGGAAATATCAGAACAATGCATGTAGTATGTACCCATCTATGCTTAAACATAAAAATTGTACAAAGATCACTGTGTACACGTGTTTGTGTGAATATGCATTCAGAAAAGAAGTCTATTAAGATTGACCCCAAAATCTTAACAGTAGTTGTCTATAGAAAGCACCGTGGGATTTGCTGAGAGAAGTAAAAGAGAAATTTTCTTTTTCACTTTTTTTTCTTGCCTAGAGCATTTGGATTTCTTTATTTGCAGTGAACGTGTAATAATTTTATAGAAAAAAATAAATAAATAAAAGAAGTAAAAGCAGAGGGGGGTTGTCAAAGGGGGGTTTTATCATCGCTGAGCATTTGCAAATGACTGGAGGCAGATGCTGCTGATGCGTGATCTCCCTAAAGGGGTCAGGAATCCATGCCGGGAGGCTGAGCTGGATTCCCCGAGACCAATAACTATCCATCTTGATCACAAAATCAGGAAGTTACTTCCACCACCTCTCTCAATAACTCATTCCAGGGCTTAATAACCTTTCCTTGCAGGAAGTTCTTCCTCTCATCACAGCTAAGTCCTTCCTGCTGCCCTGTCAGCCCTAATGAATGGGTCTCCCTTCCCTCCTTTCACTCTTGGGAATCAAGGGCCAACAGTGAGGGGCAGGGCAGGGGCCACTTCGATTTTCTGCAGTTTGTCACTTCTGTCCCATATTGTGGCAATGCCCCTGAGACCTTGGCATGGAAGTGGCCATAACCATCTATTACAGACAGAGGTTGCTTTGCTGAGGCTTCTCTCTGCAGCAAAACTCCAGCCCAAGGGGTCCCCAAGGACCCCCAGTCTGCCCATCCCCACTGCTGGACGCTGTGCTCTACACAAACGCTGCCTCCCTGGCCTCTTTCCTGTCATATTTTATGCATCCTGATGGTCACTCAGGCCAAGATTTACAGAATTCATATCCTTTCGAGATGGAGGAAAATGGGAAACTCATGATTTACTATTCCCCCAGGAAACGCTAGGGAAAGGTAGACCCAGGCGCTTAGGGGGGTGTATAGAAGTGAGGTGGGGAGACAGACAAGCATTTATTTGGTCATGGCCTCAGCAAAGTGGTGCCAGGGGTCTGCTTCCCTGAACAGCAAGCACGTTTCTTCTAGAGCCTTCCTTCCTCTCCCAGGCTTCACTAGAGTGTGTGGTGCAGGACCAGTAACTGCAGATGGCAAAGACCCAATAAGGTGGACTCCTACTCTGCATAAACTTGGGATTCCCAGAAGGGGATAAAAAAGTACATCAATAATTCCCATCCACAGCAAAGATGTTCAGACTTTTTTCACCACGGTAGTGGAGTGCACACACTTGGAAATCAGTAAAGATCTCAGTAGAGGTTTGTGACTTATTAGCGGAGGTATTTGTGGAAGTTATTTTAACCTTGTTGGGTCTATAAAGTAGGATTGATAACAGCACTTTCTTGGTCGAAATTATGTGTGTATTTAAGGAAGCATTTGAAGGACTTTGAGCCAGACTTTCCAGGTTTAATTCACAGTTGTGTGAATTAGACTCAACAGTTGTGTAATCTTAGGTAAGTCACTTAACTTTTCCACAGCTCAGTTTTCACACCTAGAGAATGGGAATGATTATAGGAATAGTAGCAACCTTATAGCGCTAACACGAGTTCATATATGTAAGTTGCTTGGAGCATTGTCTGAAACATAGTAAGTGTCATATGACTGCATATTAACATAACGAATATGTGTAGAAGATAAATCTGGGTGTGTTAAATTGTGTCCGACAATCCCAAGACAACACTGAACTCTGGGGATTAGGTCAGCATGGCTTAGTGGGTTAAAAGCTGACTTGTTTAGAGTAGATGCGCACATGCATGAAATTAACCATGACGCATAACATGTGTGCGCGTTGCTGTATATACATTAGACATCCATAAAAATAAAGACATCATTATTTTATTTGCATATTACTTATTTATTTGAGACAGGGTCTTGCTCTGTTTCCCAGGCTGGAGTGCAGTGGTTTGACTGGGTTCACTGCAGCCTCAACCTCCCAGGCTCAAGCAATCCTCCCACTTCAGCCTACCAAGTTGCTGGGATTACAGGCTAATTGTTTTATTTATTTATTTATTTATTTATTTGGTAGAGATGGGATTTCGCCATGTTGCCCAGGCTGGTCTCGAACTCCTGGGCTCAAATGATCCTCTCACCTCGGCCTCCTAAAGTGCTGAGATTACAGTCATAAGCCACTGCACATGGCTTAAAAACATAGTACTGCACATGGTTTAAAGACATAGTAATTTTAAAATAAAAATATGAAAAGTACAGACTCTGTAGTCAGATTGCTTAGGTAGACATCTACGATCCACCACTGACCAGCTATCTCACCATGGCCAATTTACATGCATTTCTGCCTCTTTTTCTGCAGCTTTGAAATAGAAATGGTATCAGTACCTAACTCAAAGAGTTAGTAGGGTTTAAATGAGATAAAACATGGAAAGCTCTGAAAAGATTGTCTAGCAAACACTATACAATATTAGAATTTTAGTGGTCCAACGAGTGGTTTGGAGTGAGAGTCTTAGGTATGCAAGTAGCTATGTCTTTTCCTAGTGACGTGGCCTTGGAACAGTCACATCTCCTTTCTTAGCTTCATATTTCTGCTTTACCACATGCAACAGTAAGGCCTAATTTGCAGAGTTGTTACAAGGGTTAGGAAGAACATATGTAAAATTGCGTTGATATGCATCTGGTCCATGGCAATTGATCACCATCAGCATCATCTTCATCATCATCATCATCATCATCTATAACAATATCATCTTTATCATCTATTACAACATCAATGTCCTCATCATTATCTGCAACATCAATGTGGTGATCATCACCACTGGTCAGGAGGGAGCAAGTCCAAATTCAAAATAAGAACACACTTCATCAAGATGGGACCAGATGCAGATGTGGAAGACTGAGGATGCAAAACCAGAGCTAAAAGTGGATTGAAGGACCTCCTGCCCCAGGCTGTGGCCTTATCCCGCACAGTCCACCATCCCTTCTTTGTATTTCAATCAAAAAAAGACTCTAAGTATTGAAAACTGAGAGGAACAAGTGATTTGAACAGCCCTTGAAATAGGGTATGATATGCCTCATCCCCTTTTTTCTCTCTAGGAATCCACAAACCCACTCCTCTACTCAGCAGTGGGGCCACCTTCTCCAGCTGGGGAATTCAAGATTCTCAGGTGCCTCTGCTTGGTAACTCCATCACACACACCTCCTGGACTGAGAACCAACTCAGTTTGCATGATACCTCAGTGAAGTCTAAGGAGATTAGATCTGTAGGTTGCCCTGAGGCAATAATAATCATTGATGTTTGTGTTAGTCCACTTTGTGTTGCTATAAAGGAACACCTGAAACTGGGTAATTGATAAAGAAAAGAGGTTTATTTGGCTTATGGATCTGCAGGCTGTACAAGCATGGCACCAGCATCTGCTCAGCTTCTAGTGAGGTCTCAGGAAGTTTTTAGTCATGGCAGAAGGCAAAGGGGAAGCAGATATGTCACATGGTGAGAGAGGGAGCCAGAGAGAAGGGTGCAAGACAGAGGAGGAGGTACCAGGATCCTTTAAGCAAATGGCTCTCACACGTGAACCCATAGACCCCACTTATTACTGCGAGCCCCAAGCCATTCATGAGAGATCCGGCCCCATGATCCTAACACTTCCAACCAGGCCCCATCCCCAACACTGGGGATCCTATTTCAACATGAGATTTGGAGGGGACAAACATCCAGGCTATATCAGCATTATTATCTAGTGCTAAGAACAGTGCCTGGTGTGCAGTAGAAGCTCAGTAAATTTGTTGAATAAATAAATGGTTTCAGCCTATATTTATGGAGTGCTTATTATGTGCAAGACAATAAGCTCAGCGTCTTACACACATGTTTTTAAGTAAGCCACACGACCAGCCCATGAGTAGCCTTCTATCACCATCCCCATTTTACAAATAAAAAAATCCAGGCACAGAGAAGTGAAGTCATGTACCCATAGTCACACAGCTAGAGAGTAGCAAAACTAGCCTTCAACTCAAGTTGAGACTGATTCCCAAGCTGGTACCCTTTCAACTTGTTTCACTGCTACTTCATAAGTTCATGTGCCGTCTACCTGCCACCCCCACCCCTCTGAGCTCAGTACTCACCCAAGTGTCTTGAACCTGACTAGGCTTTCAATAGCTGCCTCTTGAATGAATGAACAAATGTCACAGACCATCTGCTGAAGTCTCCCTGGGAAAATACATCTTTTTAAACTTTCTAACGAGTTGAAGCTTCTTTCCTCCCCGGCTCCCTTGGGCCTCTTAAAACTTCGGAAGGATGCAGCAGTCCTCAGCATAGGAGCCAACAAACAATGGGAGATTAACATCCATAACTTACAGAACACTATGATGGTTTTTCCTCTTCAGCTCAGAGCCCCTGGATCTACAATGTTTTCTCGAAGTGACCCCAAGACAAAGGCACTTTATGGTCCTGGTATCCATGGTTGCACCTGAAAAAGAGCAGGGTGTCTCTTGCCCCATCACAAGGTTATGTGAGGTCAAACTGAGAAAGTTGGTAAGGAGAGCAAGCTTGGTATCAGAAAGCGCACAGTTCGAATCCCAACTCTGTCCTTTATCTGCCTTCTGACCTTGAGCAAGAGAACCTTTTAGAGTCTCAGTTTCTGCATCTCTAGAAGGAGAATGTTAAGATGTTGATATGTATAATGTGAATAACACTTACTCTATAGGCTATTGTGACGTACTTGGGTTGCTGTTAGAAATATACTATGTTCTAAAATGTCATGGATTTAAAAATTACTTTTGTTTTATGGAGGAAAATAGGAAACTTGGGTGCCTTAACTGTGCACAATGATTGTAAGACTCATCTTGGTTTCAGAAACAAGAGAATATGAAAAGCAGTGTGTCTTAGCATTAAAGATATAGGACATTGTCATTACTGTGATGAATGTGAATACACTTTGTCAACTATTAAAAAAACACTGAATAAACAAGGAAGGCAAAGAAAGAAACTAAAATAAGAAGGTGGGCTTTATTATATACCCTTTGATAGGTCATAAAACCAAGACTGGGAGAAGTCAATCACCTACTGTAGGTCACGCAGCAAGTGATTCTCAGCTTTAGTTTTTATTTACTTTTCTTTTCTTTCACTTGATTTGATTTTACTTTGCATTTTCTTTTCTTTCTTTTTTTTTTTGAGATGGAGTCTTGCTCTGTCACCCAGGCTGGAGTGCAGTGGCACTACCTCAGCTCACTGCAAGCTCTGCCTCCCGAGTTCACGCCATTCTCCTGCCTCAGCCTCCCAAGTAGCTGGGAATACAGGTTCCCGCCACCATGCCTGGCTAATTTTTTGTATTTTTAGTAGAGATGGGGTTTCACCGTGTTAGCCAGGAGGGTCTCGATCTCCTGACCTTGTGATCCACCTGCCTCTGCCTCCCAAAGTGCTGGGATTACAGGTGTGAGCCACCACGCCCGGCCTACTTTGCATTTTATTTCCTAAGTTTATGCACTCGGGTCTTGGCTAAATCCTCTGCTCTAGAGAAACTGATATTACACTCTTTATTATTACCTGGTCTGTGGTTGGTAGATTGGTCCATTTTCTTGTGTGTGCTGCCAATGCTACACAATTGTAAGAGCCTCCCTGAAGAACTCTGTCAAAAGAGATTTTCGAATTCATACCTGAGGGCAGTGGAAAAGGCTATTGTTATCAACTAGTGATGTCTGTCATGGATGCTGAATGGGAGAGTGGTACTGAGCGTGCCATGAATTTTCTGTGTCTGAAGCAATCCTCTGAGATCTAAAGAGAGGCCTAGCTCACAAGAGCTGGAAAGGCCACTGGAGATCACCTGGTCCAAGCTTTTCACTGTATACATGAGAGGACAGAGGCCTGTAGAGGATGAGCATCTCGAGGAAATGCAGAGAGAGGGCCCAGAATCAGCCAAGCACACTTTCTCCTGCAAAGAGGGTCACCAACCACAAGTGTTTGTCCAAGGAGAGTTGCCTATTGGCAAAAGACCTTTACAAAGGCCACCCTGGAGAGCCCATTCAGGCCTCTGCTTTCTGACTTAGCCGAGAAGGCCCCTCTGACCTGCCAGGGCCACAAGGAGGTTCCCTCAGGGGCAGTCAAGGCATTTCACCCCTGGCAGAGGCTCCCAGAGGCATTTGCAGCCTCTCAACTCCCACCTTCCAGGGTTTGAGTGTGTTTACTCTGCTCACAAAGTGGCTTCCTGTTTCGAAGAGGAATGAGTTTTTTATAGGGTTATAAATGTGATTCAAAAGGCTTTTTGGACATCAAATGGCTCATAAAAAATGAAACGTTACAATGATTTCAGCATAAATGAATGAAAAACACATGGTGTATGCCTCCTACTCTTTTGTTGCAACAAAAGGTTCTGGTAAACGAAAGAAGTGGCAAGTGATTTGGACCTCAATGTACCTGAGACTTGAGTTTCCAAAGCCCAAACTGGAGCTTCTATTGCAGGCCAGGGAATATCTGAGCAGAAAGGTTGCTTCACATGGAACAAGCTAAAACACAAGGGAAAACATTTCCATAGAGCTTTATTTATTTATTTATTTATTTATTTATTTATTTATTTATTTATTTATTTTGAGATGGTGGCTCTGTTGCCCAGGCTGGAGTGCAGTGGCGCAATCATGGCTCACTGCAACCTCTGCTTCCCAAGTCCAGCAATTCTCCTGCCTCAGCCTCCCAAATATATGGAATTACAGGCAGGTGCCATCACGCCTGGCTAATTTTTTTATTTTTAGTAGAGACAGGGTTTTACCATGTTGGCCAGGCTGGTCTCGAACTCCTGTCCTCAAGTGATCTGCCTGCCCCAGCTCCTGTGATACCATAGTGCTGGGATCACAGGCATGAGCCACTGTGCCTGGCCAGTCTTTTAAAGTCTATTGTAACTGTCTTGCTGACCTTACTTATATCATCATGTACTCTTCTAAAGCAGAGTTTCTCACCCTCGGCACTATGGAATTTGAGGCTAGATGATCATGGTGGGGTCTGTTCTGTGCATTGTAGGATGTCAAGCAGCATCCTTGGCCTCCACCCACTAGATGCCAGTAGTGCTTTCCCCCAAGCTGTGACAACCAAGAGTGCCAAAGATTCCCTGGGGGACAAAACTGCCCACCTCCCATTGAGAACCTCTGTTCTAGAGTCAGAATTCATTATTGTAGAGTGTTCTAGAGCCAGTAATGTTGGGATGAAAGTGAGGGTAGATGAATGGATGGCCTTCAGGAAAAGTAAACAAAATTAAACTCTAATAGGAAATTTAAAATAATCAAGGGTCTGCATTTCTATAGAAGGCATATGCAAATTATTATTTGCAGTATTCTATCCTTTACATGAAAGTAATTTTGAAGGTCACTTAGGTAATGCACACATACATCTGAAACACAGCCAAGAGCCTGAAATTGGCTGAACTTCTAATCAGCTTGATGAACTACTTATATCAAAAGCAACACATTATAGTAGTGTGTGTGTGTGTGTGTGTGTGTGTGTGTGTGTGTGTGTGGTCAGGTGGGAACTAATGTGACCACCATCCTGGTTAGCCTAAGATTCTGATTTTAGTACTGAAAGTCCTGCATCCCAGGAAACCGCGTGGATGCCAGCAAACAGGAACAGCTGGTCATCCTAGTGGGAGAACAAAAGAGCTTTTAGAGAAGCCCATTACATACTGCTGTAAAGATGGATGTTAACACAGAAAAAAGATAATGAACTCCAAAAGTCACTCACAAACACACATAAATCTTAAGTATATAGGGCCATTTGGTGTAAGAGAAGTAGGCTTCTGTATCTGAACTTGTAGGCATCCTTGAGTTTGTTTCAGCACCACACAGTAACTGAGGTAGAGAAGGACCCCTGAGCATACAATAAATATTAGTTCTTTGGGGGTGAATATCAGTGAAATTGATGAAGCAGGTAATTCCAAGGACCTGTCTCCCTACAGCAGCTTTGAAAGATCAAGCAAAAATGGGCACACTCAACATTTTCAGAGCTCTGGGAAATAGTCAAAGGTTTATAACAATTAATCAAATGCGAAATTTTGTAAAAGCAACTTTAGAATGGTAGGAAAGCTTTGTGACTGTTTCCTTGCCCTGCCCCACCCTCTTTCTCTGCTTGGTGGTGGTCTTGAAAATGACAGCTGTCTTCCAAGGGTGGGACCATGGTTCTGGTTTTAAGGGATGCAGAGTAGACCTTACTGTCAAAGAATTATGTTTGTCTGTTTTAACTTGTCTGGGGGCTACCCGAAGGAATGACCAGGGTGCTTGTCTTTATTATGCCCAAATTGGAACTGGGCAGAAAAGTAGCTACTCAGAGTACATTTCTTCAAAACATTATAAAGCAAATGAACAACTGACTGTTGGCTAGGATGAAAGATACAGTTGAGGCAAATGGTAAATGTGTAGGAAGCCTGAGAGGACAAGCTAAGGAGAGAGTTTCTTTGGGAAATTAGGGCATTCAAAAGCCATCATATATACTTGGGAATTTAGTCCATGTGCATTCCCAGGTTAGGATGCATGATCAGAAAAGACTATAAGTTGTTAATTTATGGTCTTCATAAGTTTTTAACTCTGGCTAATATTTAGGCTTGGAACAAACAGGAAGTGAAAGCTAAGGCTAATTTGTAAATGGCCTGACTACACCTTAAAAGTATGTTCCAATACAGAGCCAATCTGAAAAGACGGGGATAATTTGTGTACTTTTCTTTTCTTTCTTTTTTCCTTCTTTCTTTCTTCTTTGAGGGAGGGAGTTCCTAAGGCTTAAGGAAATTTCTTTCAAAATACTAGCCAAACACAAGTTGAAGAAAGAGACTTCAGAGGCAACACATTACAAAGACTACAGAATGTACACAAATAGTTTAGAAAAGGCACTAAACAAATCAACAGCTACAATCCACAGCAAGCAACAAAAACAAATTCTGAGGAAGGGGAGGAATCTGATGCCCAGAATCACTACATTTTAATATTCAAAATGTCCAGTTTTCAATAACAACAAAATGATTAAGCCTGCAGGAAAGAAGAAAGTATGGACCATGAATGGGAGAAAGCCACAGAAACTGCCCCTGAGGAAGCACAGGCATTGTACTTCAGTTCATGTCAAACCAGATAAAAACTTTAAACCAACTGTCTTAAATATAAACAGATTTTTTTAAGACATGGAAAAAGAGCCAAAGGATACCAAGAGAAGGATATCTTAACAAATAAAGGATGTCAGTAAAGAGGAAATATAAAGTGGAACCAGGGAGAAATTCTAGAGTTTAAAAGTAAAATAAATAAAATGAAAATTTTATGACAAGATTTCAATAGCAGATTTGAGCAGGCAGAAGAAAGAATCAATTAACTTGAAAATAAGTCAATTGACATTATCCAGTCTGAGTTGCAGGAAGTAAAAAAGGATATAGAAGGATGAACAGAGCCAGGGAGACCTGTGGAACACCTTAAAATGTCATATGTGCAGTGGGAGTCCCAAAGGAGAGGGAAGAAAGAAAGAGGAACAAAGGATATTTGAATAATAATGGCTAAAGACTTCCCAAATTTGATAAAAGACAAGGGTTTACACAAGACAAGTGTTTCATTGAGAGAAACCCAATGAATGACAAGGATATATGCTAAGGCATCCAAGACCCATTGTAATCAAACCGTCAAAAGACAAAGACAAAGACAAAGAGAGGAGAGAAATAACTATGAGAGATTCTCAAATAACAGAAACACCCAGTTTCTCATTAGAAACCAAGGAGGCCATAAGACAACAAGATGGCATGTTTAAAGTGCTGAAAAAAAGGGTGAGGTGGGAAAGATTGTTAGCCAATAATTTTATATCTGGCAAACTATCCTTCAAAAATAAGAAAAAAATTAAGATATTTTGAGATAAACAAAAGCTGAGGAAGTTTTTCATTAGTAGATTGTCCTACGAATCTGCTTAAGAGAGTATTTCAGGCAAAAATGAAGACACTAGATAGTAACTCAAAGTCATACTAAGAGACTCAATGCTACAGAATTTTTTAGGTAAACAAAGAAAGCAGTAAGTATAAATCTGTATTGATGGTGCACAATGTATTAAGACAATACATTGTGACAATAATAACATAGACAGGAGAAGTGCTGTATAGAAACAGTTTTTGTATGGTATTAAAGCTAAATTGATATAAATTCAAACTAAATTTTTATAAATTTAGGATGTTAATGTAATGCTCCTAGTAAATACTAAGAAAATATCTTTAAAAATACAGAAAAGAAAATGAGAAGGGCATCAAAACGGTTCACTGCAAAATATCAATTAAACCATAAGAAGGCAATAAGGAGGAACATAGGAACAAAAAAGATATAAACTATATAAAAAATATATATAACAATGGTAGAAGTAAGTTTTTCCTTATGAGTAATTACTTTAAATGTAATGGATTAAAATCTTCAGTCAAAAGACAGACATTGGCAAATTGATTTTTTTTAAATGATTCTACTATATATTGTCTACAACAGACTCACTTTATATCTAAATATGCAAATAGACTGAGAGTGAAAAGTTGGAAAAAATATAGTCCATGTAAGTGGTAACCAAAAAAGAGTGGGGGTGGCTATTCTAGTATCAGATGAAAGAGTCAAAACTTCCTACAAGAGATAAAGGTCATTATACGTGGAGGAATGGGAATTCTTACATGCTGTTGGTGAGACTGTAAATTAGTACCGCCATTATGGAAAACAGTATGGCGGTTCCTCAAAAAGTTAAAAACAGGACCACCATATGATCCCAGCGATCCCATTACTGAGTATTTATCTAAAGGATATGCAATCAGTCCGTCAAAGAGATATCTACACTCCCATGTTTATTACAGCACTGTCCACAAAAGCCTAGTGATTCAATCAAAGTGCCATCAATGGGTGAATGGATAAGAAAAATGTGTTGTACATGCACACAATGCAATACTATTCAGCTATTTAAAAAAAACTGAAACTCTGTCGTTTATGGCAACATGGATGCATCTAGAGGACATTATGTTAAGTGAAATAAGCCAGAAACAAAAAGATAAATACCTCCATGATCTCACTCACTTGAAGAATTTTAAAAATCTGATCCCATAGAAGTACAGAGTAGAATAGTGGTTAATAAAGTCTGGGGAGGGTAGGGGATGAGGAGAGATTAGTCAGTAGGAACAAAATTACAGATAGGTAGGAGAATAAGTTCTGGTGGTCTATTGCACAGTAGGGTGACTATAGTTAACAATATTGTATTGTATTGCATATTTCAAAATAACTAGAAAAGAGGATTTTGAATGTCCTCAACTAAAGGAAATGATAAATGTTTGAGGTGATGAATAAATTAATTACCTATTGTTTTATATATATATATATATAAACAGTATAAATACGTACCAAATGTACCGTATATGTACATATGTACCAATGTATATATGTACCAAAGCATCACATTGTACTCCTTATATATGTGCAAGCATTATGTGTAAATTAAAATTAAAATAAAACTTAAAATTAAGTCTGACATGAAAAATAGATTTATTGGTTTAAGACAATTTCAAATTTATTGTATATATTTGGAGAAGCAAATAATTAGGCTCACATGTGACTCTTACTAATGATATTGCTAGTGATATCTGGTTAAAAGCAATAAGAAAAAGAGAGACAGAAAGAGAAAGAGAGAGAGAGAGAGAATATTGAATTAAGTGTTTAAACTTATAGGAACAAGAGACCCACAGTTAGTGTAGAAGATTATCACATCTGAAGAAAATGTCCCCAAACCCAAAAACTCATTGAGGAAGCTAAATATAAAAATGGTATCTTTCAAGAGTAAAGAAAGAGAGCAAAGAGGAAATGTGACACCCCTTCCCCACCATACCCCAGGGAGACAGGCTGGGCCAAGAGACCAGACTTATCTACTCTCAGAAGCAGACCCCCCACCCCCAAAGAAAAGAACGTCATTATATATTGAGAATAGAGTAAATTCATCAAGAAGATGTAACAATTATAAATATATACACACAAAATAACAAAAGCCCCAAAATATATAAGAAAAACAGTGAAAGAATTGAGAGAGAAATAGACAGTTTTACAGTACTAGTTGGACACTTCAATACCTCGCTTCTGATGATGAATAGAACCTTCAATAGAAGATCAGTAAGAAATGGATGATTTAACACCATAAATCAAATATACCTAACAGACATATATAGAACATTCCACCCAACAGGATCAGGAGTACACATGGAACATTCTCCAGGATAGACCATCTATTGGGCCACACAGAATTCTCAATAAATTTAAAACTTCTGAAATCATACAAAGCATCTTCTCTGACCACAATGACTTGAAACTATAAATCAATAACAGAAGGAAAACTGGAAAATTCACAAATATGTGAAAATTAAACAACACACTCAAAGAATAAATCCCAAGAAAATTGTAAAATATTTTGAAACGAATGAAAACAAAAACATAAAATACCAAAACTTATGGGATGCAGTGAAAGCCGTGCTCAGAGAGAATTTTATAGCTATAAACACCTTCTTTAAAACAAATCTCTAATTAGGCTGAGCGCAGTGACTCACGCCTGTAATGCCAGCAGTTTGGGAGTGAAGTTAAGGTGGGTGGATCACTTGAGGTCAGGAGTTCAAGATCAGCCTGGCCAACATGGCAAACTCCTCCTCTACTTAAAACACAAAAATTAGCTGCCTGTAGTCCCAGCTACTCGGGAGGCTGAGGCAGGAGAATCGCTTGAACCCAGGCGGCGGGGGTTGCCGTGAGCAGAGATCACACCACTGCACTCCAGCCTGGGTAACAGAGTGAGAATCCATCTCAGGGAGGGGAAAAAGAAAAATCCTCTAATTAATAACCAAACTTTACATCTTAAGGAACTAGAAAAATAAGAACAAACTTTACTAAAAATTAGATGAAGAAGAGAGATAATGACAGGAAGAAAACAAAAGAAGAGATAAACAAAAGAGACCAGGAAAACAATGAAGAGAATTAACAAAACCAAAAATTGGTTCTTTGGAAAGGTTGAGAATATTGACAAGCCTTTAGCTGGACTGACAAAAACAAAACAACAACAAAAAAAAAAACAGAAAAGAAAATAATAAAAGATGCAAATAACTAAAATCAGAAATAAAAGTGGAGACATTACTATCCACCTTACAGAAATAAAAAGGCTTTTTAGAGAATACTATGAACAACATGCCAACAAACAGTATGCCAACAAATTATATAACCTACATGAAGTATAATAATCCCTAGAAACACACAAATTACTAAAACTGACTCAAGAGGAAAACGAAAATCTGCACAAACCTATAACACAACAAGTAAAGAGACTGAATTAAAAAAAAAAAGATTATGTCTCCACCTGTGAATTCTACCAAATGTTTAAAGAAGAAATAACATCAAGTTTTTTCAATCTTTTCCAAGAAAAAAAAGAGAAGAGAAGGAAATGCATGCTGACTTATTCTATGAATGTAATATTGCCCTGATATCAAAACTAGACAAAGATGCCATTACACACCAATTAATGCAGATGCAAAAATCCATAACAAAATACCAGCAGACAAAATTCAACAGCTTATTAAAAGGTTTATGCACCATGACCAAGTGGTATTTACCCCAGGAGTCCAAGGGTGGTTCAAGGAGTCCAAGAGCAAGACTCCGTCTCAAAAAAAAAAAAAAAGAAAAGAAAAAGAAAACCAATGTAATGCAACATTTTGATAGAACAAAGAAAAAATATGTAATCTCATACAACCCAGAAAAAGCATTTGACAAAATCCAATACCTTTGATAATTTTTTAAAATACTCATAAAATTAGGAATGGAAGGGAATTTCCTTAAATTGAGAAAGAACGCTTATGAAAACCCCACAGTAAGAATCACAGAGAATTATGAAAGACTGAAAGCTTTCTTCCTAAAATCAGGAATAAGGCAAGGGTGTCCACTTTCATCACTGCCATTTAATGTTGCATGAGAAATTCTAGCCAGAGCAATTAGGCAATAAAATAAGTAAATAACTTGAATAGACATTTCTCTGAATAAGATATACAAACAGCCAATAAGCACATGAAAAGATGCTCAATATCATTACTTGTTAGGGAAATGCAAATAAAAAAACACAATGAGATACCACTTCACCCCCACTAGGATAGTTATAATTTTTTTAAAAGGAGAATAACAAGTGTTGGTGAGCATTACATTGCTGGTAGGAGTGTAAAATGATGCAGCCATTATGGAAAACAGTTTTGCAATTCCTCAAAATGTTAAACATAGAATTAACATACAATCCAGCAATTCTACTCATAGGTATATACCGAAAAGAATTGAAAACAGGTACTGAAACGAATTATTGAACAGCTTATTGTATCATAACAGCACTATCCACATTAACCAAAAGGTGGAAGCAACCAAAAGTTAATTTTATGTTATGTAAATTTTATGCCTCTGGGTAAGTGTGTGTGTGTGTGTGCTTGTGTGCATATGGATGTGTGTGTGTGTGTTTCAGAAAAAAATTTTAAAAGGTTAAGTCTTGTTGTATATTTTTTTTCTAAAGACAGGAAATATTAAAACTTGGTAAAACTTGGTAAGAATGCTTTTCAGGCAAAATGACTCAAATTTGGCAAAGGTAATATTAATCTGGATGCTGAAGAATGCAAATCATAGTTATTTGGAAAATTCCCCTCAGTGAGGAACCAGTAAGAAACTAGGACAATTGTCAACAAATGATTTCTGTTCTTCAATCTTCAGTTTGATCTCTAGGAAACGAAAACACCAGTTATCCAGGAACAGATGACAATTTTCTAAATGGTATCTGGTGGTGGGATTGACAAACCAAGCTAACATCAAGGACTCCGTGGGTTGTGATGTAAAGTGGTTATTTCAGCATAAATCTCCAGGTGGAACAACTTGTTTTCTCACCAACAACCTCCTTTGTTTTTAAATCACAATACTAATAATAGTAATAGCGTCAAGCACAGCAACCTTTTATTAACTGTTTTCAGACACAGATAAGAAACATTGCATATATTGCATAACTGAGCACTCTCAACGAGTTGAAATTACACCCGTTTCACTGATGGAGAAACTGCTCACAGAGAGGCAGTTTTAAACCAAGATTTAATCTCTACATTCTAAAGAGAAAATCAAATTTACCATCAAGCATTACAAATGAGTATAATGAGTTTCTTCCATGAACTCCGCAGAAACACAAGCAATTGCATTGCAATCTGACATTCCACTCACCCCTGCTTTTCCGATATTGTTGAAGGCAAAAACATCCTTTGTCCTGGAAGTTCACCATTCAATTTTAGCCATCTGCAGCTACTTAAATTTAAAATAATTAAAATCTAAAAATAAAAATTCAGTTCTTCAATTTCACTACCCATATTCAAGTGCTCAACAGTCACATATGACTAATGTCTATTGTATTGGTCAGCTTGGCTATAGGATATCTTCATCATTACAAAAAGTTTTAGTGGACAGCATTGTAGAGAAATCCTATGCCACCAAATTTCTGATGCTAGATTGACAACCTCGTGGCTCTTCTCTTCTGATTACCTTCCCACAGTTTAGCAAACAATGTGTGTGAACATGCAAGTGTGTCTACATATCATGCTTCAAAGAGCTGAACTAACAAACTGAGCTTGTCCATAGCGGCTCTGAGCAGGCATGGCACAAATACTCCTGGCCCTGAGTTGATTTATCTTGATGTTTGGTTGAATTCCTCACATTTTGGTTCTCTTTGGTAACCTTTTCACCCCGTTCTTTTTTAAGGTGGCTGGCTGTTATAATTCATCATGAACGCATCTCACTCCAGGCCTGGCTCCCCTGACAGAAGGAACAGCCGGTCTTCAAAAGGTCAAAGGCAATTTTCTCCTTTCGTCTTTCTCAGTTTCCAGCATAGATTTGTCACTCTGAGAAAGCATGAATTCTGGATTTGATGTACTTTAATTGATTTCACCCTCAACAAGTCAGACTGTCCATCAGCTCTCTCCTTGGGCTTCCCTGAACTTTGCTTAAGGCTAAGGTTTTCATCCGTCCCTGGAACCAAGCTGTCACCAAGCAATTTACTCCCCATACCAACTCTCAGGACCCATCTCGTTTTCACTCCTGTAACTCTCCAGAGACAGAGGAAGAGATATGCAGGAGAGATGGTAGAAAGGAAAATTAAGGCAGAAAAAAAGAATGGATAATGGATGGAAAATCCTTTTCCTTTACTGCCTTTTTGGGTGAATTTGTCAGACTATTTTCTACAAATTGTTAATGGGGTGAGATCATGGAGAAAAATGGGTGGGTGGGTGAATGAATGGATGATGCTTTGATAAATTCATGGGTGGATGTACAAATACACACACAGATAAATGTATAAATAAATGAAAGATACCAGGCACAATCACCGATAACTTGATTCATTAGCAGATCTTAAAGTTTTTTATCGATTACTCGACATATGCCAGAAACAGTTACAGGTGCTGGAAGGATGAGAAAGCATATGTAGTCCCTGTCACCAAAGAGCTCACACTCCAAGAAGGAAGGAGGGCATGCAGCAATAAGAAATTGCAGGATAGATTATATTAAGGATATTTACAATATTGTGAGAATAAAGGGGGAAGAGTGAGTTTCAGAGACACTGCATGGAAACCCAGGAAATAATGAGTTTTAAGTGAATAAATTAATGTATGTCAAAGTATTTTCTGGGAGTAGAAACCCAAGCTGCCTATTCAAGACTGTTCCTAGGTCAAATGATAAAGCACAATATGTGGGTGCCCTGTGAGTTCTCTCTGTTTTCCCCTTACCCATGTGAAGAGCATGGGCTCATGTAAATTTGTATCTTCCTTCATGAAGAAACGTTTAGGAATAAAGGGGCCAGGCATGATGGTGCACACTTGTAGCTCCAGCTGCTTGGGAGGATGAGGCAGGAGGATCACTTAAGCCCAGGAGTTGGAGGCTGTAATGACCTCTGATTGCACTACTGCACTCCAGCCTGGGTGTCAAAGCAAGACCTTGTCTCTGAAAAAATAAAAAATAAAAATAAAAGGAGTAAGGGATTAATTAAATATATTACATCTCTCAGACATTTGTGTATTTTGAGAGGTTTTCCTGGACTAAGATTCCTCATAGTAAATAACTTAGTCATATATTCAATTTAGCCTTCAGTTTTATCTACAGGAAACTAAAACACCCAGTTATCTAGAAATAGCTGATAAGTTTCTAAATGGTATGAGGTGGTGGGATTGACAAACCAAGCCAACGTCAAGGACTCCGTGGGTTGTGTTGTAAAGTGGTTGTTTCGGCATAAATCTCCAGGTGGGCCACCTTGCTTTCTCACCAACAAAGCCTGGTATGTAATTGTTGGTTTGTGTCATGATGGAAAGAATGTCCACCACCTTCCTTCTGAAGCCTGGAGAAGACATTTGTAAAACCTGGGTGCTGTCCATGGTTCTAAGGGCATTTGGCGTGTTATGGATTTCTAGTATGAAGAATACAAAGAACACCCAGGATGACAATGATCTCTTGTACAAAGTTCTAAAGGAACAATTTTAGATTGACTACCAAAAGTTCCATAAGGGATAATGGCTTTGAGTGTGAAGATAACCTTACTGAAGAGAAATGTTAAGACTTTAGTCCTGAGTTCAAATCCTACCTTGGTCACTTCTCTGAGCTTAGTTTTCTCTTTGATTAAATTATACTTTACATAATTATTGAAGGAATTGACTGAAATAATGAGAGGATATAGAGGATAATAGTAAGGCTGGGCGACAATGCACGTCCATTCTGATTGCCACACTTAACTTTGTGACCTTTCTCCTTCTGTGTGTCAGTTTCTTCAATAATAAAATGTGGTTGGGATAATAGTACTATTATCCCATAGAGTTATTATGTGAGAATGAAACAACTTAGCTTATGTGGAGTAACTTAGAATGATGCTTAGGACATAATAAGAACTCATTAAATGCTTGTCATCGTTTGCTATTATTAGATCGTTTCCACATCATGGGTTGTCATGTGTCTGGACCCTTTGTGAAGAAATCTGGCTTTATTAACAATATTTAACTTTTCAGTTATTCTTTCATTCATTCACCCAATTCAGAAAATAGGTACCAAAGATTCACTGTCTTTCTAATCTTCCCAACCACCAATTACAGAGAGTCAAACATTTTTATGGCAGGATTCCTCGACAAACACTCAAACTGGATTAAAGACTGAATGTCGTTATTTAAGGTCAAAGTTATTTAAGAACCCTTCTAACTTTATTTTTACAAATTGAATTGAACTGAATTGAGTGTGCTAACTACACTGGTGCAGCATCTTTGAGTTACCTTTGGTTCTGCTGGTATTTTTGTTCTGTTTTGGTTTTATCTATTCTTGAATTGATCTAACGGATCCCATTTTTAGTGAGATTTTGAGAATGTTAAAATGACACAGCATGTAAAGCATAACTTCAGTTTCTTCCATCTGGGCCAGAAACACAGTAGGTGTGTGGCAATTATATTCAGTGAAGGCAGGAATAAATACATGCGTGAATAATGTGAAATTATTTTAGCTTCTATATCTGTTTTTATTACTTATTAATTTTAAGATGTCAGAAGCAGAAGAGCAGTAGGGATGAATAACTCAACAAAATTCCAAGTTGGCTTTTAAAAAGTGTGTGAGGGGGTACTAAATAGTAATGTACCCTAAGCTCTCCTTTATTGACTTCTTTATTTCCTGGGCCTCCAATTCAGGGATTAATCCATCCAATTTATTTGCTTTAGCCTCAGAAAGCAGTCCCACTTTCCACAAGGACAAAGGCTTAGAGCTGCTAGAATGAATGGCTCTCGTTAATTGATGTATCCAAAGTCTGTCTGTACATCAGCCACTCCATCTGTCTGCTTTTGCTTAAAAAGGCGCCTTCCTTAACTCATACTTTTTGTATTTTTCCATAAACTAGTTCTACATTTTGGGAGAAGGAGCCTGGTTGAACATTTCCATCTTCTTTCCTGTTTTAAAAAGAAAAACAACCATCCTGATCTGTCAGTTTGAATACAAGGGTACTTTAACAAGATCCTAGGAACTTATTTTCTGCCCCATAGCAAGGTACTCATTGTGTAAGTTCCTGCACTTGCTGATTCTGTGAGGTGCTGACATGAAGTCACAGTCTAGAAACTGGTGGCTGTGTCTTAATATTGGCTGCCTAGATACTTTTTAAAGCAGATTTATGCTGCATTTTAAAAATCCATTATGCTACATTATGAGCTTATTGTCCATCCAGATAATATTGATCAACTTTAGACTTCCAAATCTGCGTGTATAATTGTCCCATGCAATCAAAATTGTTTATGTGTGTAGTATGTTGAGACGTCTATAAAATTATAAATTGGAAGTATTTACATATGCCACAATATATTTGATTACGTTGAATGCCCAATTTATATCACCATTCATTGTAATTTTTTTCTCTATTTCATAATCTTTGCTGGTGACTTGACTTTTCTCTATAGAAGATACTTTTCAGACCACTCAAAATTAGTGTCTTTGACAGATTTTTTAAAGTAGCACATCTTGTGTGGTTTGTTCATAGAGTTTGCTCATTATAAAAAAATTTGGCATTAAAAAAGAGACTAAAGAAAAAAATTAAAGTCAACCTTAATGGCATCTCTTAGAGATAGCCACTGTTATTTTTGTCAATTTTATTTTGGTCTGTATGTGTGTATATGTTGCGTGTATATGTTGTTTGTGTGTGTGTTTATGTGTTGAATGTTCACCAATTAAGATCATATTACCTTTGCAGTTTTATATCCAGCATTTTTCCCACTCAACTTTATATCATATGCAATTTATTCTTTTAAATGCTTTTCCAAAACACAAAACTTTTAATAACTACAAAATATTCCAGTCTATAAATGAGATGTAATTAAGTTAATCATTGTTAATTTTTGACACACAGGTATTTTGCAATTGTTTGCTGGTGTGAGTGAATAAAGCTATGACAGACATCTGTATGTTCTAAGTCACTTTGCTGATTGAGTTCTTATATTTAAATTCTAGAAAAAGAGTTTAAGACTTCAATAGCCATGTTTCAAATTCCTGCAGCAGCTCTATAATAAAAACTATCTTCTACTCTGTAGTTGATTGAATTATCAGCTTAGATTTTAACTGTATTCCTCTATCTGTGCCCCTTGCCATCTAACTTTGCAGTTAAGTGTACACACTAAGTGCACTTCCTCATCCATTGACTTGAGGTTCAGCCATGTGACTTATTTCAGCCAATGGGATGTTAACAGATGTGACATAAACAAGGACTTGAAATGTGCTTGCACCACATGGCTTGTCTTCTTCCACCTTCACAATCTTTACGAGAAGTGCATGTCCTAGATAGATCATTGGTCCCAAAAGGACTATAGATGCACAGAGCAGAGATAGCCAACTGGATTGAGGACTTAAAACTTGATGCAAAAGCTATTCAGTTAAGCCCAGCCTAGATCAACCTACTTCCAGGCAATCTGCAGACACATATGAGCAAGCCCAGCTGAGATCAGTAGAGCTGTCCCCAAGGAACCTGCAGATATGGGAGGAATAAATGCTTATTGTTATATGGCACTGGGATTTGGTGATGGTTATGCAGCAATAGCTAACAGATCTACTCTTGGTAATTTAATGAGAAATTTAGTCCTTCATTTAATAACAAACAAATGGTGGCAATACAACATAGTGGTTAATAAAAGAGTCTTGGGAGCTATCTGGACCTAAGTTTGAATGACCTTAGGCATATTGCTTAATCTCCGTGAACCTCAGTTTTATGGCCTTTAAATGGGAAGAATATCAGTACCTACTTTCTGGAATTGTTATTAAGATTAAACCAGTTAACGTCAGTTAACTGATATCAGTTAATATTAATAAAGTGTTTGGTACAATGCCTATGTCCAAAATAAATGTCAATAAATGATTTGTATTGTTTTCCACTAAGGAATATAGACCTCTTCAGATCAGAGGTCTATATTAAATTAGAGTTAATTACTTCTAGAATCTTAGGCTAAAACAGTGTCTGGTAAATAATAGGCATTCAATTAATATTTATTGATTAGTGATTGTTCTTTGCTATTGTTCTTCTACTTAATAAAATGAATTGGAAACAGAGGTGGGTAACACCCCATTGTTTGCTAGATCTAGAGTTTCTTCTTTTGCTGAATTACTTCTACAACGATAATAATCTACCTGAGTTTACCCATCAGTGACAATTTTTTGAAATAAATAAATAGGCATGTTATGTGTGCACTGCATGATGGAAAGATCTAGCATTCATACTCCATAGTATCATAATTCCCCATCGTCATTCTTAGTATCCAACAATCCTCTACACTCCACCACCACCAGTCACTGGATAGGGTCGTAGGGTGATTGTAGACAGATGTGGACCTAAAAAAAAGTGTTATGCTGAGCGTTAAAGATATACAACAAACCCAACACACATTTCTATAAAAGTTCTGCTAGATGCTGCTTAAAACAAGAGGGACAGGGCTATGGTTTAAGGTTGCACAGGCCATGTCTGCCTAATCTATAAGGATTAAAATTCTTTAGTGATCTTACTGTAGGAAAAAAAAGTCGAGGTGTTTCTATTGAGCTTGCTGCTTTGCAGATAAATTGTTTAAACAAAAGCTCCTAACCAAGATTAGCACAGTGCCTGGAAAGTTATAAGCACTCAGTAAATGCTAGCTATTATTTTCATTGAAAAATATGATTAATATTGATAGAACTGGTGATTGTAAGTTAATTGCAGTTCCCCACTTGTGGCTGTAATCAAAGTAGAAGCCCTCCTTTTTAAAAACCAATCTTGAGTACAAGCACTCCAAAACATAATACTAGGATATTTTAATTCATATTTGTTACTCCAAGCATCTATGCATCAATTGCTTATTGAACACTTACCATGAACTAGATACTGCACTGGGTACTGAGAATACTACAGTGAGGAAAGTATTCTCAAACCAAAATCCCTTCCCTCACACAGCCGACATTCAAATCAGAGAAGCAGATGGGAAACAAATAAGAAAACACGAATAATATACATATGTATTTTTTTGTCGCGGAGTTTCACTTGTCGCCCAGGCTGGAGTGCAGTGGCACGATCTTGGCTCACTGCAACCTCCACCTCCTGGATTCAAGTGATTCTCCTACCTCTGCCTCCCGAGCCTCTGGGACTACAGGCATGCACCACCACGCCTGGCTAATTTTTGTATTGTTAATAGAGACAGGGTTTCACCATGTTGGCCAGGCTGGTCTCGAACTCCTGACCTCAAGTGATCCACCCACCTCGGCCTCCCGAAGTGCTGGGATTACAGGCATGAGCCATCACTCTCAGCGCAAGAAAGTAAATGATCAGTTACTGATAATTTTCAGGAATAAAATAAAAAGAAGGATGCAGTTCACAGTGATGAGATAATGAGATAATGAGATTGAGTGGTCAGGAAAAACCCATGTTCTCTTAGAACTATAGTTCTCTATGTTTATTGGTCTCCATTTTCTTTAAAAATCTGATGGATTCTATGGACTCTCCAGAAAAAAAATTATTTATATATATATATATATATATATATATATATATATATATACACACACAGGCACACAGGGCTTACACGCATTGCTTATATTTTATTGAATCTCTGCTTTAGACACTCATCTAAGTCCTATCTTTGGCCATGACATGCTGATAGCAAAAGCAGAAGTAAGAAATATTCACTTCCATATTGTCTTAGAACAAATTGTCAAAGCACACCACTTCTCTGACTTGGAAAAAACAATTGTCTGAACTCTCAATAGCTGATGCCTACATGTTTTGACATAGAGGCACTATGCCTTATCGTCTCTGGCAGAGTTCGCTTGCTATGTACCAGAATTCTTGCTCCCTCTATGGTAGTTTAAAGTTGGGATTCAGAAGCCACTATCCACACAAGGACTACATTTCCCAGCTACCCTTTCTTAGTGGTACAGTCATGGGACTAATTCTTGCCAATGAAATGTGAGCAGATGCCGTGTATGACACTTTCAGACCAAATTTTTTAAGAAGCCTTCATCTTGCTATGGTTTCACTTCATGCCAGCTGAATGCCGGTGATTATCGGAACCTAGGGAAAGGTGAAACCACACGATAGGGGAAATCTGGATTCTAAAATCACTACATGAAGGAATACTACTCACCAACTAGAAACGTTCACATTTTTTATGTGAGCGACAAGTAAACTGAAATGGTGTTAAGTCACCAACATTTGGTATTACCCCTAAATGATATTTCCTAAATTGTGATCCCTGAAACGGCAGCATCAACATCACCAGGGAGCTTGTAAGAAATGCAAATTCTCCCACTTCAGAAGAACAAAGTCAGAAACTCTGGAGGGGTGGGAGGGACCAGCAATCTGTGTTCTAATTGGCCCTCCAGGTGACTGGGAACCACTGCTCTAAATACATAATACAGGGCCTATGAATGGGGGTTATAAAATCTGATTTCCTGGGTTCAGATCCTGGCCCGATCACTTATGAGCTATGTGATCTTGGGCATGCTACTTAACTTCCAGTGTCTCAGCATGTTGCTAGGTATGGATATCTAAGGGTAGATCACAATAGTATCTAACTCCCATGCTTTGACATGAGCATTAAAGGAGATCATCCATGTGGAGGGTTTAGAACAGTGTCTGATGCACAATAAGTGCTTAGAAAACTTTAACTGTAATGCTTATCAAACTGACAGCCAAGTCTCAACCCCAAGTTTGCATAAAATGGACTTTTCATTTCTCCCCCTCTGCTTAACGCTATTCCCATGCATGCTTGAATCGTGGACACATCTGTCCTGGCAGGCATTCATTCCTTCAGAAAATGATTATGGAGGTCCTTGCATGTGCCAGACATCATGCTAGGATCCAGACAAGCAAGAGAAAACAAGGCAGACTGGATCCCTGCCTGGTGATAGGCCTCTGACCTGGCCGACCTCACTGTGGCCAGACAAGCAAGGACAGTGAACAAACAGGTGGCTGAACTGGACCCTGAGGGAATAAGACCAACACATTTTTTCTTTGTGCAAATTTCTGGCTGATTTTCTTTTTTCACCCATGCAAGAAGATGCCCTTGCTTTTTCCAACAGCCGCCCTGTGTGCAGACTAATCTTTGAATCTATGTTCTCTAAGCTGCTTTAAAATATGATGCTCAGTGGTTAATCCAAAGCCTGTAGAAAGAGCCCTGACGCCAGGTGTAAGCATATTTTTAAAGAAGAGGGCATACTTTCAAAACTAGCACCTGGGGCCAGCCAATTAAATTCCTCAATGAAAAATGCATGGACAAATGGAAGGCTGGATGCCTCCACTTTGATTCTTACTCAACTCTGATTGGCCACAGGTTTGGCCATTTTGTTTCATTGACCAAATGGTACCCATCACCCCCTCATGAGGACTTGCACCTGCCCTCAAAGGAGCCAAAGCTGCCAGCTCCCCCTCAGCCCCTTTGAACGCTCCTTATCAGCTTTAATACTTAAAGCCCTAGAATTTGTCAGCTTAGATTCCCCACAATTTGATGGGCAAAGGGGTGTGTGCTCCAAGCAGCCTGCCAACTTCACTCTCACAGCTGCAACTCTCCACAGACACTCTGCTGTGGAAATGCAAAGAATTTTACAAAAGAGTCACCCTAACCTCACATAGTCTGTGAACTCCAGTCCCTCCTGTTCTTTCCTGTTCTTTCACAGGAGATCCAATTTCTCTCTGACTCAATCTTTGTCAGGGCACAAGGTCAACTGGCTGGCTTCTTATACTCTTATGGTCCCAGATATATAGAGTGGGCAAGAAATGAAAAAAATAAAATAAAATCTGTGCCCATGGCAGACATCAATAATCAATTCCAGAACTTTTATCCCTTGCCTAGATCCATCCTCCAAATTTGTGAGGACTTCAGACAACCATCACTAATTAATCTTGGTGGTCATTTAGACCTATTTGCCATTACAATCTAGACCAGCCCTTATACAGAAAATAAAACAATAAAAACAAGAAAGGCGAATAACTTATATCCATCTTCAAACAGCGTGTGTGAGTCAAAATTGAGATTAGAATTCAAGTGTTCCTAATCGCCAGTCTTGTGCCCTTCCTTATGCCAAGAGACCATCAGGCCCCTTGAAGTATCTGGAGATCCACTCCACCTCTCCAGATTAAACAGTCCTAAATAAATGACCCATGAAATGTTCTTGGGTTCAACTTTCATCTCCCACCAGCGTGCAGGATAAATGGTGTATTAGTCGGCTATTGTAGTAATGCTGCATAACAAACCATCCCACAAATCCAGTGACTAATAGCTACAAGCATTTATTCTCACATTCATGGGTCTGCAATCAACTGCGGCTCAGCTGACGTGGGCCTGGCTTGGCTCCATGACTCCACATACGCTGCACGTGTGTTTATTCTGGAGTCCTAGATAAAAGGGCAGTGACTACCTAAGTCATGTCTTTCTCAACATGGATTAAGAAAGCTCAAAACCTGAACCAAAACATGCAAGCATGTTTAAGAACTCATGCATACATCATGCCCTCTAACATTGCACTGACCAAAGCAAGTCATATGACCAAGCCCAAACTTAGCAGCATGCAGAAAATCTCTGCCCACATTAGTAAAGGGAGGGAGTGAATATTTGCTGTATAATAATATATATTATTTAAAACATGGCTTTTAAAATTATCAAGAAACATTTCAGGGAGGGTTTGGATAGCAGAAGCCTTTTTTTCACAGTGAGATTATACCAGGCTCTCACTAGAGAAAGTTGATAAGCTGCTGAGCACCAGATTTAATCTCTGAGAAAGCTAAATCATGTATTGTGTTAATACTGGCTCTCTGATTTTATTGCTGATTCCCCTGCTTTAATTCTCACCCCATGTAAGACAGATCATGAATATTTTAGTGGCCAGACAGTGAACTCCTCAAGAGTCACCTTTATGTCTTCCTTAATGCTGGCATTTTGAAAATATGTGGGTTTTCCGAAAGAAAGTGTTGAATAAATGATAAAATCATGGTGGTTAAAAGTATGGGTTTGGGGGAAAGAGTAAGCCAGATTCAAAGCTAAAGCCATCACTTATTGGCTGAGTATACTTGGTCACTTGTCTAAACTTTCTAATCCTCAGTTTTCCCCTCTGTGAATTGGGGGTAGCCATATCTGTCTTGCTGGGTACCTATTAAGTAATATAATGTAGGCAAAATGCCTGGTCCACCCCAGGCTGTCATATATTCTAGCTCATATTTTTATTCATCCTTTGTTAAAACTATCTTAAATCACTGAGTTCCTCTGGTGCAGTAGGCAATAGTGGCACTAATCTAATATTTCTAATTCTTTTCTTTTCAGGCACCTAGAAGAATTGTACTTCTTGTCCTCTTTTGAGGATAGGCATACCTGTGTGCTTTGCTTTGGCCAATGAAATATGAACAGAAGGTACCTGTGTCACTTTGGAACAGAAACTTTAAGAGCCATGATCAATGATTTCCATGTTCATTTCCCACTGCTGTGGTGACTACGAAAGCACTTGTTAAGATGAACTCTGTATCAGCCTGGATCTCTGAGAGACTTCATGGAGCAGAAATCCTCCGGCCTATATGCGTAGTGTATGTAGTATGAGAAAGGAGAAAGAAAGAAACTCATGTTAAGCCACTGAGATTTGGAGGGTGGTTCTTACTGCAGCATAACCCAGCCACTGTGCTTGATATACTTGGTATTACTAAGTTATATACTTAATATATACTTGATGATATACTTGGTATTATTAAGTATACTTGGTCTACTTACAGAATATTATGGATTATATTTTCGGAAAGATTTATGTTGCAAATAAACCAGTTATACCTGCCGGTATACCAGTACTTCCCCATATCTACGGAGTAGCCCTCTTAAGTCACAGAAGTTCAAGATTTAGAAAGAAATAAAGAACACTCTGATTTATACAACTAAAGCCTCAGGAAGAAAAGGGGTGGAGCTGTCCTCACAGACCACTGTGTCTAGGAACTCAAATTCTATTCTCTTTTTTCCTTTACTTCTTCACTCTGCTTCTCTCTGCATGCTGCCTTCTTGTGTCTTCCTGAACTCTGACTTTCTCCAGGCAATGAGAAAGTGGCCTAGTGGCCATAGGTGCTCTAGGCTCATGCACCATTAGCTTCAAGATCCTAGGACCATGTTTCCCAAAGTGTTTCTCAAAGACCATCTTGGATGTGAATTACATGTGCATATATTCCAGCTCCTCTCCAAGTTTACCATACTGATTCAGAATTTTTAGTGGTTTGGCCTGGGAATCTGCATCTTACCATGTTTATCAAGTGATCCATAACCAAAGTTGCATACCTAATCTAGTAAAGGACCATGAAAAGCCTGGCAGGAGTGGTGGAGTGACAACATGGGCAGCCCCACTAGGCTTACAGGGTTACAGGGTTAGGGTGAAGGAGACACAGAGTCCCCAAAGTTGGGAGTCAGGAGAAGGGATGCATGAAGCGTATACACAGCCATGGAAAGAAATTGTGAACCCAGAGAGCGCTCCAGTCTGGTTCTCCTATAATTGGGAAAATACTCTGAAACCTAATCTACCTGAAGACATAAAGCAGAAAAAAACAAATCTTCCTCTCCTTTAAAGCCATTAGCAAGTTTCAACTTCTAAAAAGTGGGCAGGGCACGGTGGCTCATACCTATAATTCCAGCACTTTGGGAGGCCAAGGTGTGCCGATCACCTGAGGTCAGGAGTTTGAGGCCAGCTTGGCCAACATGGTGAAACCCCATCTCTACTAAAAATACAAAAATTAGCAGGGCATGGTGGTACGCACCTGTTATCCCAGCTACTCGAGAGGCTCAGGCAGGAGAATCGCTTGAACCCAGGAGGCAGGGGTTGCAGTGAGCTGATATTGCACCACTGCGCTCCAGCATGGGTGACAGAGGGAGACTCTGTCTCAAAAACAACAACAAAAAAAGTGCATTATGAGGAGGAATTATTAGCTCCTGAGCACCTATTCCAAGCTAAGTACCCCTTGACACTCTGCAGAGAATGCCAGTGTTTGGCTAACACAGCTCCCATTCCCTACCTCTCCTCTTTCCCATGCCTGCAATTCTAGAGGGTGCAATGTCAAATTCCTCCTTTATGAGCTTCTCTTGCAGCCATAAGTTATCATGAATTGTCATGATGTGACCTGAGCCACATCATGGCCAATGAGACATCAGTGAAAGCTACTGAGAGCTTCCAGGAAAGACTTTATTTTCCTAAAAAAAAAAAAAAATCTGACATTTCTCCCATCCTATACCTGGAAGGTGGCCATCATTTCTGGAGCTGAAGCAGGTACTTTACAACCATGAGGTAAAGGCTAAGAGTATCTTAGAGACTTTCCTCTGATATCGTTCTGCCATAAACCCATCCCAGCAGGTGTTGGCCTCCAGATTCCTTGTTGTGTGAGATAATTGAATGTCTTAATGGCGTTAGTCACTGTCCAATTAACTTTTTCTTGCAAATGAATGAATTCCCATCAGATACCATTTCCTGATTTATTCCTCATAATAATATAGGCATTATCATTCTCACTTTTTAAGTAAGGAAACTGAGGTTAGTTAGTGAGGTAGGTCATTTCTTTAAGATCATAAATCAAAGAAGCAATGGGAATAGAATTCCAAACCAGATTCGCATGACTCGAGGGCTCTTTATAAGAAGCCTCCCTACCTGGATGGCTACACATTTTCTTTTCTATTTGTTTTTGTCCTGCCTCTTAAAACTATCATGTAATTACATTTTTTATGTACTAACATAACAGTCAGGAGAACAACAAGTACAGTGCCTGAGACACAGAAGATAATCCGACCATGTTCAAATAAGTGTTCATTATTTGAGGTTTATTAAGTAAAGGTAGGAGACTAAAATCAAAGACTGAGGACGAGGAAGGGTGGATTCAATATTCCAAATCATTTATTCATGAAGTGAATAATCCTCGCCCCTTCTACTGGTATCACTTAGCTGTTGCTATGTAACATACAACCCCAAAACTTAGTGACTTAAAGTGATAAACATGTATTATTAAAAGTAATTGCAAAAACCTCATTTGCTTTTGCATCAACCTAATAATGTCTCATGAGTCTAGGAGAAGGCTGGATGGTTGTGTTTATCTTGGCTGAGCTCAGTTGATTTAGGCAGGGCTTATTTTTGTGCCTATGGTCAGCTGGGGGAGTTAGCTGGGGATTGGCTGATTTAGAATGGACTTGGTTGAGACATGAGTTTCTCACATGCTTTGCATAGGCTGGTCCATGTCAGTTCGTGAGTGGATGGCAGGGATTCAAGAGTGAGCAGAGTAAGCGGAAATCTGTTAGTGTTTTTTAAGCCCTGGTTTGTATCACCTCTCCAAGGGCCAAGCAAGTTACATGGCCAAACTCAGAATCAAGGTGTGGGGTAAAAAATCCTTTGCACTGGGTGGGTGTGGTGGCTCATGCCTGTAATCCCAGCACTTTGGAAGGCCGAGGTTGGTGGATCACCTTAGGTCAGGAGTTCAAGACCAGCCTGGCCAACATGGTGAAACCCTGTCTCTACTAAAAACACAAAAATTAGCCAGGCGTGGTAGCGGGTGCCTGTAATCCCAGCTACTCAGAGACTGAGGCAAGAGAATTGCTTGAACCCGGGAGGTGAAGGTTGCAGTGAGCCGAGATCGTGCCACTATACTCCAACTTTGGCAACAGAATGAGATTTCATCTCAAAAAAAAAAAAAGCCTTTGCTCTAAATGGGAGAAGAGTTGGGGACATCACGGCAATAAACCTCCCATAGATCCCATGATGGATAAGTAAGAAGTAGCTATGTCTATAACCTAGGCCTGAATAACTGCTGGTCTTCCTTGGAGAGGTGAAACAGCAGAGCATGAAAGTGAGGAGCTATTCCCTAAGCAGCCCAGTAGGGTAGGAGACAGAAGCATTGTGCCTTAGAAGACCTGAATTTTGAGTCCTGGTTCTGTCATACACTTTCTCTACGTGACCTTAAGGAGAGAGACCACTTTCCTTTTCTGGTTTGGAATTTCTCTAACTAGAAAATGATAGAGACAAACTTTCAGAGGCCAACAACTAGAGGCCCGCAGACTAGATCTGGCCTATGTATTTATTTTGTTTGGCTTGCCCAGTATTCTAGTTTTGAACCAACATTTAAAAGTTAGAATGTTTCAGATAGAAATCTGGATTTCTGACTGATATGGTTTGGATTTCTGTCCCTACCCAAATCTCATGTCGAATTGTAATCCCCAGTTTTGGAGAAGTGGCCTGGTGGGAAGTTATCGGATCATGGGGGTGGATTTCCTCCTTGCTGTTCTCATGATAGTGAGTGAGTTCTCACAAGATATGGTTGTTTAAAAGTGTGTAGCACCTACCCCTTTGCTCTCTCTTTCTCCTGCTCTGGCCATGTGAAGACATGCCTGCTTCCCCCTTAACCTTCTGCCATGATTGTAAGTTTCCTGAGACCTCCCCAGCCATGGTTCCTGTACAGCGTGTGGAACTGTGACCCAGTTAAACCTCTTTTCTTTATAAATTACCCAGTTTCAGGTATTTCATTATAGCTGTGTAAGAACAAAACAATATACTGACTTTACTCAAAAATCCTGAAAGATTCAGCAAAGTTGGGTCAAGATTCCACTACGGCAACAATGGATGCAGCTGAGCTATGGATCCTCATCTGGGATATGCATTGCTCTCCACTATCTGACCTACTACATTGTCACTTACTCCATATTGTCTCCTGAACACTAAGATTTTTCTTACACTTGGCTGAACTCACTCATTGAAATTCACCTTTTGTCACCGTAGACATTTGAATTGGGTTTCCTGGACCAAATGGTGTGATAGCTGCACTCTGCGAGTCCACGGCATTGTTTCTTTGGTGCTCAATTTCACAGGTCAATACAGAAATTCTCCCATCAATTCCCCCTGATTTTAGGCCAGTGGATCTTAATCCTATGGGAACTCAAATCCATTTGAAATTCTGATGACATCTATGGGCAGAAAAGTGCTCATATAAGCACACACATGTTTGAACACATACACATACACAATATCACATAGTGCTTTGTCTGTCAAACTCCATTATCATAGAAGATGCAATTTGTCTGTCCTGCAGTCTATGGTGAACCTCAAGTTCTCCATCAAAGTATTCCCACCATAGCCCTGTCTAGACAATTTTCAGATCTATTTAGGACTCCAGAAAAGCATAAAAATTTCTTATAGTCAGAGGTCACCGTCTGTTCCCAGTTCCCTCCCCATTTCCCATTCACTCTTCCAAAGAACAGAGAGGAAAACAAGCAAGTTATAGCCAAGTGACCCATGCTGAGAAAAGAGCAGAAGTCAGCAGGGCCCTGACCT